>NC_000006.12:92002015-92152954 GCF_000001405.40 Homo sapiens
ACACGGGATACAGGTATTCTGGTGATGCTACTGTGATGCATGGTTACCCTGAACACATCATTTTTTTTACTGTATTAATGGTATGTCATGTTTTTTACTATTAAGTATTTATGTCTGAATAAGTGTAAAAAACATGATTGCTTATTTTTAGCATATAAATTCAGAGTCAGGAATGAAGGTGATGCCAAACAAATACAGATTGACCAATGCGTAGCTGAGATAGTGACAAATTTGCTTTCTGATAATTCAATGTACACAAACTTTGATTCATGCACAAAATTATTTTAAAATGTTCTATAAATTACCTTTACGCTACGTGTATAAGGTGTATACAAAACATAAATGAATTTTATGTTTAGACATGGGTTGCATCCCCAAGGTATCTCATCTAGATGCAAATATTCCAAAATTTTAAAAATTCCAAAATTTGAAAGACTTCTGATCCCAAGCATTTTGAATAAAGGATACGCAACCTGTATCATTGAAGGTGTGTTATTGAAGAAGAAGAGATATTCAACACCAGTAATGAAAAAGAAATAAAACACGATGCATTTTGTTCTGTTCCAAAAATATCTTTTTTATTGACTGGGAAGATTAAATTTTGCGTTCAATTTCCACTCTTAGAGTGACTTTATAAAAGACAAGGGCATCTAATCTAGAAAGTCAATGTTAGGAATCATTCAGTAGTTGCTCCTTGTAACCCTATCCCATCAGTACAGATTAGTTTATCACATTAGATAGTTAATAATTTGCAAGATCAGAATGCTGACACAGAGTTTAGAGGAGATGATATACATTTCAGTGGGCTGGAAGCATGCAAGCAACAAACCCCAGATGGTAGAGGTCAGGACGAGGGCTCTGGTCCACGAAAAACAGGCTCCTGGTGATGGCACCATTAGAAGAATACATGAGAACAGAGATCCGGAGAGTATGGGGTAAGAGTCACAGACAGGAAATATTTCTAGAAATATCCAATGGTAGGTTGAAAGTATCTGTTTATTTTTTACCATAGTTTTAAGATGTATTAAGGTTTGAGTTTTTGATGAGATCCCTTAGTTTTCTTTGAGGATCTCTATAGCCCCACACACAAAAAAATTGCACAGTGACTTATATGTGAATATTCAGCAAATACTGTTGATCAATAAGTATGTAAAAATGAGCAATTGTCATATGTGTTATTGTACAGGCTCCAGATTATTTAAAAAACTTAGTATCACAGGAACTGTGTTAGCAAAATACTAGAAAAGACATTGGAATGTCCTAAGGTGGGCAAGGATATTTTCTTTTTTCCTCTTTTGTTCACTAGTATATCCTAAATGCCTAAAACAGTGTCTGGCATACTGTAGTAACAGTCACTTACTGAATATTGCTACAAGTAAAATAAAGTTTACAACAGATTGTATTTTAACAATAAAACCACATTATTCTATTTTTTCTATGTTTCTGTTCAACTCCAGTTATATCTTGATAGAATGAGAGACAGAAGAAAAAAGCAATGGGGCTGGATTTAAGACAGTGGATTTGACACATGAGGCAGTTTATCCCCATTAACAAATGTTGGGATTGATAGAAAACACTATCAAAAAGACAATGCAAAGCCAGTTTAAAATATAAAGAAAAGTTTTGGTGGATTGGAAATTGTAAGCTTCAGTGTTGAGCTGGAGAAATGTCTCAACATACCTGATGCAAAGGATAAAGAGATGAGAAACATGAGTAAAATGAACACATAGAAGGCAAGAGTCAAATCATCTTCATTTTTAATAGGAAGATGGGAAGAGGAAGATTTAAAAAAAGATACTATTTGAGAAAATAATAGACAAAAAATTCACACAACTGAATAGAGAGATATATAATAAATTTCTAAGACAAAAAAGAGAACACTCAGAAACTGCCATTATTAGGGAAAAATAAAGCAGGTCACCCCCAAAGAAAAAAAGACTCACTGACCACTGGTTTAATAGCATCCCTGGATATAGGAAGATAAAGAATCAGTGGCTTCAAAGTGCTGAAACAAGAATTCTCAACTCAGTTAAAGATCACTCAAGAATGAGAGTAAAAGAAATGTCCAGACATAGAAGGACTCAGAATATTTACCATACAGAGAACTTCTCTCTAAGAAGCTCTAAGGCAAAAAAGTTAGTAATATATATTTTTAAATAAATATTGATTTCAAAAATTGTATTTTCAAATGAGAATATGCAATTAAATTCCAAATGATTTAAAAATGTCGATGACAAGAATGCCAAAGCATCTCTACAAAGACAATCTCAATAAAATGTTCTATAATTAATAGGAAACAATAATTTTAGTATGTTAGGTAATGTTTTATGAGTAACTACTGGAATATAAATAAAATACACAACTTTTAAACTATTAGAACTGGTAGAAGAAAACAGAAACTAAGAAAACTTAAACTCATATAATTTTATATTTTATAGAAAAAAATCCTCCCGTTTAATTAGTTGACTGGTGCCTCTTCTTTGGTGTCTGAAGTTTCCTTCTTGTGGTCGGAAGAATGGCAGTGGAATCTGTCCCAGAGAGGGGACACTCATACCTTAGACAGACTCTGCAACAGTGAATCTTTCGTCTCATCTTTCCAGAATGGAGAACTTAACCGGTACCCTATGCCCGGGTCATACGCTAAGAATGTTCTGAAAAAACAATACAAGGGCCAGATTTGATATGAAAGAATACAAATAATTTCAAGTAAATTTATCCAGAAGCATTTTCATTTAAAATATGTTGTTTCTTCAAATCCTCTTCTCAAACCAACTTACATCAGACTTTGGTACTCCCACTCTCTAGAGACACTCTCCTCAGCCCTTTCCTGTTCAGACCCACACTTATCTTCACTTCACTAGAGCTGTTGTTCAATTCGTGATCTTCACATCACTGAACTTGTTAACAGCATTAAATTAAATGATGAAACACATTTTTAATTTTTTTCATAAAGTTGTATTATCTAATCATGCATGCTTAATTTTTAAAATATCTTTACTCATTTTTGAAACATATATAAAAGAAATCATAACAACATGTAAAATGTTGCATAGGGCTTTTGTCACTTAATATAATACAATGTTTAGGGAACATTCATTGATTTTCATTAGTATATAGTATTACGTATTGTAAATATGTTATATATATTTATCTGTTCTGCTCCTTATTGACATTAAGTTTTCTTCCAGTTTAGCACCATTTGAAATAAAGTTGCTATGAAAATTGTGCAATTATTTTGTACATATAAGCATACATTTCCACAGGGTATATACCTAGGAGTGAAATTTACTGGGTAAGGGGGCATGTTTATTCAAACATATGAGATAATGTGAATATTTTTTCCAAAGTGTTTGTGTCAATTTGAACTTCTTCCAGGAACTTTATGAGCATTTTATTTACTCCACTTTGCCACTTATGCTTAGTATTATTATGTTCTTATCTGTTGGTTACAATGTGGTTATTAAAAGCACACTGTAGTAACAATGTGCTTTTAATCTGCATTTTCTAACTAGGTGTTGAGGACTTTCCATATGTTTCTTGGATATACAGATTTAGTTTTAGAAACTGCCTGTTAAGTCTTCATATTATTATTATTATTATTATTTTAGCAGTAAACTGTACTGCCTCATATACCTATAGTAGTTCTCTGTGTATTCAGAATACAAGTACTTCCCCTTTTATCAAGTGTTATCAATCTGATTTCCCATTCTGTGGCTTGGCTCATGAATTTGTATTAAGAAGTATAACTGTGTCTTTTGTTAAGAACAAATCTTTTGTTCTAATGTTTTCAAATTTCTTAACACTTACTTTTATTATGGCTTTATTATTAGTGCATTTTATATGTATTAATAAATCATTCCCTGCACCAAGGTTATAAAATAGTCTGCTATATTATTTTACATTATGGACCAAATTGTCTTTTATCATATATGGATAACTAAGGGTAACAATACATTGATTTAAAAGCCATATTTCCCATAAACTGAGATGCTATCTTTCTCTTTAAGTGATCATGTATTTACAGATTTGTATCTAGAATCTCCATTCTCTTATATTGGTTTATTTCTATATCCTGTAGCAATATCACATGTTCTCAATTATTTTGGCTTTATCAATGTTTGCTTTCTTTCAAGAAAATCTTTCACCTTGAACACCTTAGAAAGTATCTTGGCCCTTTGCATTTCCATATAAAGTTCAGAACCAACTATTTTTCTTATTGGGTTGACGGAAAATTAAAAATTGATAAGTGCAATATTGATTTTTAAAATCCATAAATATCCATCTCCATTTTCTAATTGACAGTTATTAAAATACTACTTTATCTGTGGAAAATTTATATATATATATATATCTTTTTTAACTTATATTTTAAGTTCAGGGGTACATGTGCAGGTTTGTTATATAGGTAAACTTTTGTCATGGGGGTTTGTTGTACATATTATTTCATCGCCCAGGTATTAAGCCTGGTATCCATTAGTTGTTTTTCCCGATCCTCTCCCTCCTCCCACCCTCCACCCTCCAATAGGGCACAGTGTGTGTTGTTTCCCTCTCTGTGTCCATGTGTTCTCATTGTTTAGCTCCCACTTATTAATAAGAACATGATATGTTCAGTTTTCTGTTCTGTTCCTGTGTTAGTTTACTAAGGATAATGGCCTCCAGCTCCATCCATGTCCATGCAAAGGACATGATCTCATTCTTTTTTATGACTGCATAGTATTCCATGGTGTATATGTACCACAATTTTTATACTTTTATTAGATTTATTTATGCCTTCATATTTTTGGCATATATGTTTCATTAATATTTTAACTAATTATTTATGTCTAAATATACCATTCATTCTTTTAATATTTAATTCAGCAAATGTGCTAACTTCTTATTATTCCAATTGCTATGTATGTCTATTCTAAGTTTGCCTTCTGGAATGGGGCTATAACCAGTGGATTATTGAGGGTGGGCTCAAGGACACACTGGGCCCACTGTAGAGTGGACCAGTCTTGAAACTTCACTGACACCTGAACTCCATAAGCCCCTGCTCTGACTGGAGAACTGCTACCCCACACCCATGAGGTGAATTAGAAAGTTAAAGATACTATATGTGAGAGGCAAGAAAGCCTGGTGCCCTGCACTATCAGAGAATTATGGCTGCTGCTCTACTTCTCTTCGAATCTCATGGACATTTCTTTTGTGATGTAGTGTAACTTCTTAGAATGGTCTATAAAATATAATTCCAGCTTAGGGACATAACATAGTATAAAACCCTCTAAAATCCCAGTTTTCTTCCAGGATGAAAGGATTATTCTAGATATTTGTCATATTAGTCTGTTCTCACACTGCTATGAAGATACTACCTGAGACTGGGTAATTTATAAAGGAAAGAGGTTGAATTGACTCACAGTTTCCACATGGCTGAGGAGACCTCAGAAAAATAAACTTACAATCATGGCATAAGGTGAGGGAGAAGCAAATACCTTCTTCACAATGCGGCAGGAGAGAGAAAGAGAGAGAGAGAGAGCAAGCATGGAGAGAGAGAGAGCATGCAGGAGAAACTGCCACTTTAAAACCATCAGATCTTGTAAGAACTCCCTCACCATCACAAATAGCATGGGGAAAATCGCCCCCATGATCCAATCACCTCCCACCTGATCCCTCCCTCCACACATGGGGATTACAATTCAAGATGAGATTTGGGTGGAGACACAGAACCAAACCATATCACTCATACATTGACATTTGTATGAAATTTAAAAAAGGAAGGATTCACTTTCTTCTTTGTAGTCTCTGGTGGTTTGCTGGCAATCTTTGACATACCAGCTTGGAGCTATATAATGTCACTCTCTTGTCTTCACATGGCATTCTCCCTAGATGTCTTGTCTTCACATTGCTGTCTTCTTTGAACACCAGTCATATTGGATTCGGTGCCCATGCTGATATTGTATGACATAATCTTAACTAGTTATATCTACAACCACGCTTTTTTCAAATACAGTCACATTCTGGAATACTGGGGATGATTCCATTTTTCTTTAAGGGATGGGGGTAGAAGACACAGCTCATGGGTTGGGAAACACCAAGTAATGATGGAACCAGAATCAGGCTGACTTATTGAATGACGGCTATGAGCAAAGCCCACAGACCCACATGAGACGTTTAGTATGACTTAGAAATAAGCTATTGTTTTGTTAAACTGCTGACTTAACCTGGCCTGTCTTCACTAATATGACACCTTTTGTTGCATCATTAACCAAGATTTAATATCTCATATTATATTAAATAAATACATAGGTATATATCAGTTTCTTGTGTGTGTCATACATATACATATATATAACTATATATATAAAACACAACTCATTAAAACTAAAAAGTTGAGATTCGAAAAATATGAAAAGAAGGAAAATTAGGATAATTTTTTTAATGGGATAAATATGTTACCATATTTCTTAATATCTCTCATAATATTAATTTTAATTATAACAATTATATGCTCATAATAATACAAGTTTATAGTATACTGCTATATAGTATTAAACTAAAATATAACAACATAACATAAATAAATGTAATATTTTTAATAGTAACTCAAATTTGTATGGAAAATGTTTCCTGGTTTGATCAAAGAAAATATATGAACTATCATCTTAAATTTCACAGAAGAAGATAACTTTAAGTACTTTAAATATTATATTAGAACAACTTACATATTTCTAAATCTGTTTCTAGTTGGGCATTTTTCCAAATATATTAATTTAGTCTTTCTCAGTGTCAAGAAACGAAGGAAGATTAAGAGAGTATGGCATTACAGCCAGTGTTTCAAATGCAGATTTAAAGTTTATTTGAGTCTGGTAATAATGTCAAAAAAGACTTTAATGTGCAATTTAAAACAGGATATGTTAATATGAAATACTCAGAATGTGAAACCTTGATCAACCGGATATGCTGACTTATGCAAAATCATTTGTGTTGAAAATAAGAAGGGACAGAGGCCATGTTTAATTTATTTTATCTATTCAGAAAAGTTTTTTCTGTTTATATTTTTAATTGTTTATTGCAATGAAAGCAACATATTAATAATGTTAATTTATTAAGCACTTACTATGGGCTAGGGCACTTTTTAAAGGATTTTCTTACATGAACTCATTTTGAAATCTAATAATGTCTTGAATTGTCATACGAGAAAGCACTTCACTCTTCTGCCTTCTTATCGCCATGAGAATGGCAGAGATCTCATCGACAGGAAGTGTGGATTTTGGAGCCCTCATCCCACACTGAGGGAATGTGGATGTTGCAACAGTTTCCAGCTTAGAAGTCTGTACAGCTGCTCCGGGGCATATGTCTCCGAGGAACATCATTTGAAGTCATGGGTTTTGGATATAACCTTGGTTCAAACACCAAAAAACTGTGTGAGTAAAATGTGATGGAATTTCACTGTGGAGCACAGTGGTTAGAAGAAGCAATAACAAAAACAGAAATGTTGATAGGTCATAAAAACATATGGCTAAGTAAAAAAAAATAAAATAAAATTTATAAGCACACACAAAAAACATAAAACAATAAATAAAGAATACAAAATAAACAGAAGAGTTGTCTAATTAGAAAGGTGTATGAGTAAAAGCAAAGAATAAGGAAGGAGAGGGTGGATTACTTTATTTAAATTTAAATCATGCTGCTATAAAGACACATGCACACGTATGTTTATTGTGGCATTATTCACAGTAGCAAAGACTTGGAACCAACCCAAATGTCCAACAATGATAGACTGGATTAAGAAAATGTGGCACATATACACCATGGAATACTATGCAGCCATAAAAAATGATGAGTTCATGTCCTTTGTAGGGACATGGATGAAATTGGAAAACATCATTCTCAGTAAACTATCGCAAGAACAAAAAACCAAACACCGCATATTCTCACTCATAGGTGGGAATTGAACAATGAGATCACATGGACACAGGAAGGGGAATATCACACTCCGGGGACTGTTGTGGGGTGGGGTGAGGGGGGAGGGATAGCATTGGGAGATATACCTAATGCTAGATGACGAGTTAGTGGGTGCAGCGCACCAGCATGGCACATGTATACATATGTAACTAACCTGCACAATGTGCACATGTACCCTAAAACTTAATGTATAATAAAAAAAAAAAAGAAAAAAAAAATTTTAAAACGTGAATGAAGAAACTTTCATGGGCCAAGGAAGATAGTGTGCCATACACTAAGAAATATTATTAACTTGGTGTCTTACACCAAATTCTGAAATAAAAAATATATAAATACAAGTAAAAACATTCAAAAGTTTGGAGGAATGTTGTCTTTCAGGTCAGAAACTAAAAGAAGGATAGTACTTAGTATTGCTTGAAGGTGAGGTAATACAAACTAATATTCATTGTTAGTCTAAGTTAAATTTGAACAACTATTTTTAGAGGAGATTTTTATAAACATGCATTATCTTTGGTCTAACAATTTATCTACAAGGATTTTGTAGTAGAAAGATGACTGGGCAAGTAACTAAAAGATACATATGCATGACTCTTTAGTTGAAGTAGCTGTAGAAAGGTCATCATTTGTTTTCATTATATGTATCTACAAGATTATAAAAATATTAATATATAAAGTTAAAGTATTTATTTGCATGTTATATAAAGGAAATCAATTTCCAGCAAGTAAACTTACTGCAAAATTGATCATTGTATCTCAAATTTCAGATAAACACTTCATGCTTGTGTGTCCGGAATTGGTGGGTTCTTGATCTCACTGACTTCAAGAAAGAAGCCGCTGACCCTCACAGTGAGTGTTACAGTTCTTAAAGGTGGCGTGTCCAGAGTTTGTTCCTTCTGATGTTCAGATGTGTTCGGAGTTCCTTCCTTCTGGTGGGTTCGTGGTCTCACTGGCTCAGGACTGAAACTGCAGACCTTTGTGGTGAGTGTTACAGCTCATAAAAGCAGTGCAGACCCAAAGAGTGAGCAGCAGCAAGATTTATTGCTAAGAGCAAAAGAACAAAACCTCCACAGTGTGGAAAGGGACCCGAGCAGGTTGCCACTGCTGGCTTGGGCAGCCTGCTTTTATTCCCTTATCTGGCCCCACCCTCATCCTGCTGATTGGTCCATTTTACAGAGAGCTGATTGGTCTGTTTTACAGAGAGTTGATTGGTCTGTTTTGACAGGGTGCTGATTGGTGCGTTTAAAATCCCTGAGCTAGACACAAAAGTTCTCCAAGTCTCCACTAGATTAGCTAGACACAGAGCACTGATTGGTGCATTTACAAACCCTAAGCTAGACAGAGTGCTGATTGGCGCATTCACAATCCCTTAGCGAGACATAAAGGTTCTCCAAGTCCCCACCAGATCAGCTAGACACAGAGCACTGATTGGTGCATTTACAAACCCTGAGCTAGACACAGGGTGCTGATTGGTGCATTCACAAACCTTGAGCTAGACACAGAGTGCTGATTGGTGCATTCAAAATCCCTTAGCTAGACATAAAGGTTCTCCAAGTCCCCACCAGATCAGCTAGACACAGAGCACTGATTGGTGCATTTACAAACCCTGAGCTAGACACAGGGTGCTGATTGGTGCATTTTCAAACCTTGAGCTAGACACAGGGTGCTGATTGGTGTATTTACAATCCTCTAGCTAGTCATAAAAGTTCTCCAAGTCCCAGCTGGCTTCACCTAGTGGATCCCGCACTGGGCTGCAGGTGGAGCTGCCCACCAGTCCCACACTGTGCGGCTGTACTCAGCCCTTGGGCGGTCGATGGGACCCGGGGCTGTGGAGTAGGGGGCGGCCTCCTCGGGGAGGCTCAGGCTGTGCAGGAACCTGCGGGAGAGGGTGGGAGGGAGGCATGGCAGGCTGCAGGTCCCAAGCCCTGCCATGCAGGGAGGCAGCTGAGGCCCAGTGAGAATTTGAGCGCAGCGCTGGTAGGCCGGCCCTGCTAGGGGACTCGGTGCACCCTCCGCAGCTGCTGGCCTGGGTGCTAAGCCCCTCACTGCCCCAGGCTCACGGCGCCAGCCAGCCGCTCCGAGTGCAGGCCGCTGAGCCCACGCCCACCCAGAACTCGCGCTGGCCCGCAAGTTCCGTGCGCAGCCCCAGTTCCCGCCAGTGCCTCTCCCTCCACACCTCCCTGCAAGCTGAGGGAGCAGGATCCGGCCTTGGCCAGCCCAGGGAGGGGCTTCCACAGTGCAGCGGTGGGTTGAAGGGCTCCTCAAGCGTGGCCACAGTGGGCGCCAAGACTGAGGTGGCACCAAGAGTATGCCAGGGCTGCGAGGGTTGCCAGCACGCTGTCACTTCTCACTTGTACTTTGGAGAAGACCAGCATTGTCAAAATTACTGCTTAAATGCAGCTAAATAAATTCCTCCTGCAGATACATAATTTTAGCCTCTATCTCCATTCGATTCTTGCATTTTCTTTCTATTAAACTAAGAGAAAAATATAATTAATAAATAATGACTTTATAATGTATTTCCATGTATTTGGAATATATACACTAAAATATGGAAAAATATAGTTAAAAATGTGAAAAATGATGGGCTCCGTTATTGAGATTATACTTTATTTTTACATCTCTTTATTTTCTCATTTTTTTCTACAAAGAACACAAACAATTTTTTAACATAACAGGACATGGTAATTCTTATTTTTTCTGAAAAGACAGGTTAGGGGACTCTTTTGCAGATAAGAGGTATAAATAATAGGGTTGCAAAAAAGAATTTTTCTTATTAATGGAAACAAAGACACAGTTTAGTAAACTCATAATGTTGCCTCTGAATTAGCCTGCAAAGTTCTAAGTTAGAGCCTTATGTTTCCACCGTTCCATAGGCATCACTATCTAGTAAACATATCCTTTCCAATAGTGGTCAAATCTCCAGCTTTGTGCCTGAGGGTGGAGACACGTGGACAGTTGCCTTTTCTTCCAAATAACAGCCAAATCAAATCAAGTTGACTGTGTATGCCCAGTAGTTCATCGATCAATGTATGTGACTTTATTGATCAAGAAAATCTAAATCTCCTTTTTTGCTTTACATATCTAAATTTTTTTAAAAAATGGATTTGGAGACATTAAATTTTTCAAGTTATAGAAATGGAGTTAAACCAGTGACAACTACTGGGGCAAGGGTAAAATGTATCTCAGCATAAGAAATCTTAAACTTTGCCTAAATAAATCTCTTAATTTCTTTTAGAATATGCATTTGCTTTATTTTCCCAAGATTTTAATAGAAAATATTACAAATACATGGAAAAATTTAAAGAGCTTTGTAAACAGTGGCATACCCACATACCCATCTCCTACAATTCTCTAACTGCCATTGTCTTCTACTTGTTTTATCACTGGTGAATGGAGCACTCTAATTTCAATCAATCTATCTTTTTTATTGGTGCATTTAAAAGTTTCAGACATCATATGCTTCCACCTAAATATTTCAATATGTATATAGTTAACTATAACTCAATTTTTACAGTACTGCTTTTTTTTCCACTTAAGTTAAAATCCCTTATCTTTAACAGTTTATTTCATCCAAAAATTGCCATGTCTCTGAAATTTGGGCTTAAGGTGGTAAATATTCACCCTACACAATTTCTGAGCTAATCCTCCTAGACAGTCACTTGAGGTTCTTCCCAGTGGTAGATCCATTTTTCTCTTGTAATCCAAATGGAAAAATTTAGAAAAGAAATCACCAGAAGGCACCACTCACATTTTATTATCAACAAATCTCCAGTGCTGACCATATGCTTACTGGTCTTCTTTATTCCTTTTGCTATAATATATTTCACTAATGTTGTGCAGAGCCAGATGTGGCTCTCTGTGTGGCAGGACATGGCTTATTAAATTTGTGAAGAATATGGCTATTTCAAGAAGTACCAAGAAATTGAAGGGAAGAGAAGAGAGTAAAACTGATTTATGCTTAGAAGCCCTTAGTAGTCCAGGATAAGATTGTAAAACACACCAAAATTGGAGATGATAATTTATGCTACCAAAAGAGATATTGTTTGTTAGATTGCATATGTCTGTGTGGAGGGAGGTGTGAGAGACTGCACTAAAGTTTATACACTTCCAAACTAAACAATAAGGATTGTCTGACAAAGTATCCAGCAGCGTGTTATTCTGACCTCCTTTTGGCCCACGGGCTTTTTGAAGGTTTTGCACAATAAGGTCAATGAAGGTTAAGTGGATACACTCAAAGATGAACATGATGTGGAAGCTCTGATAGTTAATTCTGGGACTTTCATGTACTGTTTGGATGCAGGGCTTGCCAAAACTACCACAGGAAATAAAGTATTTTGGCTTCCATGGATTCTTTTCCATCCCTCACAAAATCAAATTATTCCCTGGTTCTGTTTCTCAAAGTCAAGAGTTCAATATGAAACTATATTGTAAGCATACCATGGGCCAGTATGTTGCAGATCAAATTTTTCAAGCTAATTGACAAAGAAAAACATTCTTATAATAATCCACTGTACACCTAACGTACAATATAGCTCCTCTATAATGTGTAGAGGACAATGTCCTCTATACATAAAGGACAATATAACTCTGAACACAAGGTGGTTGAGGAATAAGAAAGCTTATGCTGCAACCCAAAGATGCATGTTCCAGTCTATGAGGAGGGACCTATGAAAAAAGCTTAAGTGAAAAGGTAGTATTGCTCCAAACTATCATACCCAGAAAAAGGTCAGGTTGCTTAGCAGCAGCTAAGTGACATCACAGCCTAGGAGCAGGCTATGATAGCTAAGCCAAACCATCAGTTTTCTAGGAAGACTTTTAAGATCAAAAATGAAATTATTAATGGAGAAAAAAGTTACCTGTTTTCAAAGGCCACTCCTTGCAAATTGGCTAGCAATTCTTTTCCTCTATAATTTTTCAAAGCATGTGATCTCCCTTGCATTTCTTCCATTACAAAATTTTCTAATATTTAGTCAACATGTTCTCCTATATTTCATTCTAACTCTCATAATGCTTAAATTACACTCTCATTTTTCCATTCTCTATAAAAGACAAATTTCAAAAAAGATTATATCCATTTTTCTCTACTTGCTAAGCTTGTATTTTTTTTATTTTTTATTTTTTTTTTTTTTTGAGACGGAGTCTCGCTCTGTCGCCCAGGCCGGACTGCGGACTGCAGTGGCGCAATCTCGGCTCACTGCAAGCTCCGCTTCCCGGGTTCACGCCATTCTCCTGCCTCAGCCTCCCGAGTAGCTGGGACTACAGGCGCCCGCCACCGCGCCCGGCTAATTTTTTGTATTTTTAGTAGAGACGGGGTTTCACCTTGTTAGCCAGGATGGTCTCGATCTCCTGACCTCATGATCCACCCGCCTCGGCCTCCCAAAGTGCTGGGATTACAGGCGTGAGCCACCGCACCCGGCCAGCTTGTATTTTTAATAGACTACATTTTCTAGAGCAGTTTTAGATTTGCATCACATTTGAGCTGAAGTATAGAAATTTCCTGTATACTGGCTGAGCGCAATGGCTCATGCCTGTAATTCCAGCACTTTGGGAGGCCAAGGTGGGAGGATCACCTGAGGTAAGGGGTTTGAGACCAGCCTGGCCAACATGCTGAAATCCAGTCTCTTCTAAAAATACAAAAATTAACCAGGCGTGATGGTGGGCGCCTGTAATCCCAGCAACTCTGGAGGCTGAAGCACGAGAATCTCTTGAACCCAGAAGGCAGAGGTTGCAATGAACTGAGATCGTACCATTGCACTCCAGCCTGGCGTACAGAGTGAGACTCTGTCTCAAAAAAAAAAAAAAATTCCCTTATACCCCCTGCACCCACATATGCATAGACTCTTCCATTATCAGTATCCCCCACCAGAGTAGTACATTTGTTGCAATTGATGAACCCACTTTGACACATCATTATCACCCAGAATCCATAATTTGCATTAGGGTTTACTCTTGGTGTTGTTTGTTGTATGGGTTTGGACAAATTTATGATGACATGATTCATCACTGTATACAGAATATGTTGATTACCCTAACATCCTCTGTGCTCTGTCCCTAAACCATGGAAACCATTAATCTTTTTACTTTCCCCATACTTTTGCCTTTTCCAGAATTTCATATAGTTGCAATCAAACAGTATGTAACTTTTTAAGATTGGTTTCTTCCACTTAGTAAAATGAAATTAGTTTTCCTCCATATCTTTTTATGGATTGCTAGCTCATTTGTTTTTAGCTTTTTATAGCCACTAAATAATGTTCCATTGTATGGATGTACCACAGTTTTATCATTCACCTACAAAAGGACATCATGGTTACATCCAAAACTTGCATTAATTTTCAACGCAGTTTTTCCTTGTGCTATTTGTTTAAAATTGCACCTACTACACACCGTGCTTGTTCTCAAGTCACAGAGATACTTTTCTACCATCATACTACATTAGCTGCACATGATTAAGTTAGTTCTCCATTCCTCAACTCTCTATAATCTTTTGATTTCCATGACATTACATTTTTCTCATTTTCCTTTTTCATCTCAGGCTTTTAGTTGTGTTTCTTTCTCATAAGCACCTTTTTCTTCATTATGCTTATTAAATGTTGTTATCCTGCTGGGTTAAGGCATATACCTTCTTTCCTATCTCTGTTCTCTTCTTAGATGGTCTTAGTCCCAGGATTTTAAATACCATCTGAAACAACTTCTTATTGGATATTTCCACTTAGATGTATCAACACCCTGTCAAAATATATTTAAAATCTCTAACACTACAAATATGTATTTTTCCGCATCTCAGTAAATGGCATTGCCATATAGCCAGTTTGCAGTTATTGTTAATCATTGTACTTCCTTTTCATCACCCTTACCTCCAATCCATCAGCAAGCTTTATTATTCTGCTTTATATTTCTTGACTCTATTACTGTCTGTCTCTCCTCTTGTGTTCTCATCCAATTCTCCAACGCTGCTCACCTAGGGTATCACAGTAACCTTCACATGGAACTTCCCGGTTTCCTCCAGTGTATTCTCCACACTGCTTCAGAATAATCTTTTAAAAACTTAAATCTGGCCGGGCGTGGTCGCTCATATCTGTAATCCCAGCACTTTGGGAGGCTGAGGCGAGCTGATTGCCTGATGTCAGGAGTTCGAGAAGAGTCTGGCCAACACGGTGAAACCCCGTCTCTAATAAAAATACAAAAAAAAAAAAATTAGCCAGGCGTGGTGGTGTGTGCCTGTAATCCCAGCTACTTGAGAGGTGAGGCAGGGGAATTACTTGAACCCGGGAGGCAGAGGTTGCAGTGAGCCAAGATTGCGCCACTGCACTCCAGTATGGGCAACAGAACGAGACTCCATCTCAAAAACAAAACAATAACAACAACAAAAACTTAAATCTGTTCAAATCATTTACCTACCTAAATCTGTCCCTGCCCTCCCTTCACATCCCAAATCAAATCCTAAATTCCTCGAATGGATTTGTCTGTATCTAGCCCTCCTACCTTATTGTGTCCCACTTTTCTCCCATTTTACTCTTACTTAGAAAGCAGCTTCCATTCTCTTCCTCCAATGTATATGCCAAGCTTTTTCCCAACTCAGGACCTTGGCACATGCAGTATCTTCTGTCTGGGAGATTTTTCTCTCTTTCGCTATTTTCATAGCTGGCTCTTTATCCTTCAAGCCTCAGTTTAAAATTATTTCTGAACAAAGTCTTTCCCTACTACTTTGGTTAAATAGGTATCACATTTCCTTCTCTATCACTTAATATTTTTCTTTATATAACTTCAAAAAAGTACTTATCATATGTTTATTTCCTTATTCATCACTAGATTTTAATCCTTTTGAGTTCAGATAACATCTGTTTTCTTCACTGCAACCTAACACATACTAGACACAATACAAATTTGTTGAACAACTGAATAAAGACACTTTCAGCCAGAGAATAATTTAAACATCCCTCTCATTATCAAAATCAGCCAGAAATAGCACTGATATTGCAGAAACGATGTGGGGCCTCAGATATCTACACACATAGAGGTAATGAGCATGCAGATAAGGAAGGCAGGGGTCTGCAGCATCAGCTAGGCACAGATCATATTGTGCAGAGTATATTTATGCATTCTGTGCATGTTAATACAGACTCAGTGCTCAAGACTAACTCTAAAACCTCATACAAACAAAGACTAAGGCCTAATAATAAGGGCCCCAAAGCAAGAGAAAGATAGTACCAGACGATAGAATTGAACAAAGGTCGGGGAGCAAACACAGGAGGGTAGAGCCTGGGCATTAAGTAGTCTCTGGTCATAGTAGCAAAAGCAACAGTGGAAGTTGAAAAGCATTCATTATGTATTTATTTTTCCTCCTTCCTTATTATATATAACTAGAACTAGAAAAATAAGTCATTAAGCATTAAATCATGCTTCATGTTGAACCTCCCCAATTTATTTATTTACTGAATAAAATGTATTTGCAAGACATTGTCCCATTGCACTTACAAAATTAAAGTTCCAATAAATATGTAGGTGGTCACGTTTCAGAATTATAACAAAAAGGTATATATTTTTCTTTTCTTTATATTTCAATGTAATAAAATATCTGTAACACACTAATCCTAAAGTGCAAAAAAAAAAAGCCTACTTTTTAAAATCACAGACCATTTCTAACCCATTTCTGGTATACCCTAGTTGTACTAACACTTCTTATATGATAAGAAGTTGCTATAGCAACATATTTTAATCCTTTAATGATCACTTTTGCAATTTACCACTGGCTTTCAGGACAGAGATATACAAATGACTCTTTTTGATCCATAATGTTACTAAAATTAATGGTGTATCAATTGAGAATCCAAGGGTTTTGCTATAAGCATAAAATGGAACCAGCAATATTTAGCTTTATTCACTTTGTTTCTCCACATTGCTTCTATTTTCAAAATGAAGTTTGCACATTAGGTATCCCAAACTCTCACTGAAAACTCACTATCTGGTAGGGGCAGCATCCTTAGGGGATAAACCAAACCATGATCAGCATTCTGTCACTCTGTGGTCAGAAATTTCATTGAATAGGCAGAATGCTTTGTTTTGTTTTGTTTTTTGTACTAGGCTACAATGTGTCATTTTTCTCTAATTTGTTAATCTATTTAAAAATGCATTGAAAAGGGGCATAACTATGGATAAATAAACACTATTTTTAAGGCTTCTTATCAGAAATTGGAAAACATGATCTGCCTTTATTGAAAATTTTCAATTAATATTTTATTCTGATACAAAAGCAGTAAGTGTCTAAAGAATCTCAAAAATACAGCAACAGAAAAGAAAAATATAACTAACAATTCTAGCTTCCTAGGATTATCACAGTTAACATTTGAGCATAGACACATACAAAATTAGGCTTACACAGTACCTAATGTGCAATAACCTGCAATTTTCTCTTAAAAGCATATCATGAATATATCTCTACATTTTCAACTATCGTAGAATGATATTTAATATCTCCACAGCATTTTATTTGAAGGATGTAAAGTTATTTGTAACCATCTCCTTTTGTAGATCATTTAGGTTGTTTCCAATAACTTGATCTTTTAAGTAATACCCCATGAACATATTTGTGCGTAGGTCTTCACCCAATCCTCTCTTTCCTTAAAGGACTGCTAGTTCAAATGACATGTGTATTGTATATTTTTATTACCTATATTCGAAGTAGTTTATAATTAAGTGTTAAAACCATAGCCTTTAGCTTTAGACCACTTCGACTGAAATTGGAGTTGACACTTAATATCTCTGTAACCTAAGGCAAGTTACTTAACCATCCTATGCCTCCACTTTCTCATCTGCAAAATGGGAATAAACATATTTGCTACCTCAGAATAATTTTTAAACAATTAAATCAATTAATACACGTAAAGAGACTATATCAATGCCTGGCAAAGAGTAGTCACTTTAAAATGCTCACTGTTATTTGCCAAATATACTGCCAGAAATAATGTACCAATTTATACTCCAAAAAATAGTGTATACATATTCCAATGTCCATACAACATAATCAACAGCAGATATTATTACTTTTATACAATTTTATATTTAATAGTCAAGTGTTACTGATGTTTTTAAATCAATAAACTTCATTTTTAGAGCAATTTTAAGTTCATAGGAAAAATGAGCAGAAAATACAGCGTTCCAATGTAGCCATCTCTACCTATGCACACAACCTCTTACACTAGCTACATCCTGCACCACAGTGGCACACTTGTTACAACCTTTGAACATACATAGACACATGTTTATCACCCCAAATCCATAGTCCACTCTCGGAATCATCCATTCTATGGGTTTGACAAACGTATAATGTGATGTGCCCACCATTGTGGTATCATACAGACTACTTTCAGTGCCCTAAAAATCCTTTGTGCTCTGCCTATTTATTCCTCCCTCCCCACAATGCTTGGAAACCACAGATCTTTTTGCTTTTTCCATACTTTTGACTTTTCCAGAACGTCATAGAGTAGGAATCATACAGCGTGTAGAATTTTCAGACTTGCTTCTTTCACTTAATCATATATAGTTAAGGAATATGCATTTCTTACATGTAATTTCAAGGCTTGATAAGCTATTTTTTTTATCACTGAGTATTATTTCTTTATCCAGACATACCACAGTTTCATTATCCTTCCACTTGCTGAAGAACATCTCAGGTGCTTGAAAGTCTTGGCAATTATGAATAAAGTTGCTATAAACATTTGTGTGCAGATTTTTGTGTGGACATAATTTTTCAATTCATTTGGATAAACACCAAGGAGTACAGTTGGTGAATCAAATGGTAAGAGAATGTTCAATTTTCTAAGAAATGATCTATTTATTTTTCAAAGTGGCTATGCCATTTTGCATTTCTACCAGCAATGAATGAGAGCTCTTGTTGCTCTACATCCTTATCAGCATTTGCTGTTGTCATTGTGTTGCATTTTGGCTGTTCTAATAGGCAGGCAGTACTATCTCATTATTTAAATTTGTAGTTTTCTAATGACATCTGGTACTGAACTTCTTCCAATGTGATTAATTACCATTTGTATATCTTCTTTGTTGATGATTGTTCAGGTCTTTTGCTCATAGTAAATGGCAATTAAATTTGAGCCTCAATATTGTTCATAATTTGAAAGACAATTCTCTTTCAACTTAAGTTACAGCATTGAAAATGGTTAGTTGTGAAAGGCATATTGATTTCATTTAGTTTATTTTTCTGACGACATAAAGGTCAAAATGTTTAAGAGATTTACCTTAGTAAGCATGGCTGATTAAAATAATCATACGATATAATCAACTTTACAAACTTCAAAGACACTTGAACTAGAACATAATAATTACATTGGGAAATAATTAACAAATATTTAGTTATCCTTATAAAAAAGCAAGATTGCACTATATCCAAAATGCTCTTTGCAACCCAAGTGTTTGTAATTTAAGAAAGTTATTTCAATAAAAACCTAGAAAAGTTTTAGAAGTAAATGTTAACATAGTCAAGGGCACAGTCTCTGCATTTAAAAATTAAACAATAAGAACTCTAGTCTTAAGGTGAAGGTAAGGAGGAATACAATCAATGCTTTCTGTTTCTTGAAAGATAGGTAGGTAGGTGGGTAGATAGATGATTGATAGATAGATAGATAGACAGATAGATAGATAGATAGAAAACAAACTAATTCAGCAAATATTCAACTAATATAAACATTGGAATCTTCCCTTAAGTCTTAACTACAAAATAAATACAAATACATACTATATGGCATTGAAAACAATAAGCTTATGAAATTTATAACATCAAATGACTTGTAGCATGCTGAAAATATTTTTATGTATAAATATATTTCATATGTATAAATTTAATTAAATTTATAAACATGTAAATTTAATATACATATAAATATTTATTAAAATCATTTATTTACAATTCAAGAAATATTATGTAAACAGAGAAATAATAGATTCTTCACATTTATGAAAATGTTAATGTAGTATTTCTAAATATTTAATGTTGTCTGGAGGACAACCAAAGTCTCTTAAAAAGATATAGCTAGTTGCTATATTAAAGTCCCAGTGATGAGCTGAAGAAATCACTGGGCCACGGAAGTATAGCACTCCTAGTGTCCTTGTGTTTCCCCGCAATACATATTGAAGCCCAAATTTATACATCTGAACTTTAACAATAACAGTGACTATCACATTGAAACTCTGCCTTGACATTACAAGGATGGCTCTGAAGGACTTTCTGGTCTATTATATTAATGATATTGTTGGCTTTCTGTAAATTATCTGAATAATTGTAACCAACTGTCAGCTTTTATGCAACTAGAGTTGGAAAAGAGCAACTTTGGGGAAGGATGTCAGAGAGAAAGACTAAAACAGTAAGAAAAAGTTAATAATCTCCTTCCAAAGAGAACCATACATGCACATACACATACACACAAATAACAATGTTTGCAAACATTATCTCTAAAGCTAAGATTAAGAAGATATCTAAAAACCCATGTATGTCTAACATCTGGTAAATCTATGCACTTTTATAGATTGCTTTCTCTCAGATGATCTATTAGTTTCTTATTTGATCACTTTTAAAACTACTAAGGTAAGTAAAACATATGAAAATACTCATTTAAAACACTTTGGTTGAAAAGGCACTAATGGATCTGAAAAAAGGCTGATTTAAGGTGACCAAGTATCAGACCAGATTTATAATTCAGATCATTTGTATTTTTCAAATATTAATTTAATCTAATTATTTAACAATTTGATGTAGGTACGTAAAGGATAAAATGACAATTTTTAAAAATCTTTTAAGTACGTGTTGGGTATTATGGTAGTTAAAGTTAAATTACACTAAGGAAATCTGAAGTGTTCTCTGTCAGTGGGCCTTTAGGGAGCAGGGGCTTTTATGACTTGGTTTTTAATGACCCCTATGATTCCTGAGGGGAGTCATAATTTTTTAATCAAGCACAGCTGCCATTTAATAAAAGCCAACTTTGCTAGGCTAGGTCAGTGACAGTAAGTTTAACAGCTTCCTTGATAGTTTTGTGCATGTTTTCTCCTAAGCCTCACAGTTCTCATCTTTTTAAACTTTTTTAACCTAATTGAACAAGGGAATGGAATCTACAAGTCAAATTTTTTTGCAATAGTTCCTTTTAGACTCTAAGTCCCCAGATGAGTATAAATGCATTCTATTAACTTTGTCATCCTGTTTTTGAATGGTTACATTAAAGACATTTAGGAAAATAATAGATGAGCCAATGTGTTCAATGCGAGAATTTGAAACTGTTACATAAAATTTAGGAAAGTTTATTTAACAACAATATTGTCAAAATGTCTAATTATGACAGCGACATTGTTTATCCCTTTCTCTCTACTTTCAACATCTGTTTATATACTAGTATTCTAAAACTTACCTCAAGTCTCAATGGTCACAATTTTTCTCTGAAATTACATCATTCTTCCCTCCATTACTTTAACTATATTCTCAAATTTTCTCTGTATTTTCTAGCATTGTAGTGCTTGAAAATGGAAGGCATTTGTAAGGGCTTTTCAGAAAAGATAATGAAAAATCAGGCAAATTATTATATCATAGCTTGGGCACTGTAGCTGTATCATACTGTGCTGAGATTTGTATCTGTAGTAATGGTGGTACTGGCCACTAACATATCAGGTCTGTTCTCCCTCCGGGCACAGAGAAGAATTTCACTTACTGAGGCTGATGAAGTTAGACATGGGCATGTTATTTGTTTTGCTATTAAATATGACCGGGGTTAGAGTGTGTCATTTCTGGGCTGAAGTGTTTAATTAGTAGAGGCATACATCATACATTGAGAGGGCAGCATCATCTTAAGAGGGTGACACTGTGTCTGCCTGGATCTTAGGTGACTCTGATAAGATTGTTTCTTGTGAATGTATGCTTTATATCTAGAGTAATCATAAAATAAATTTTTATTGTTGCAAGCCACTGAGATTTGAGGTTGGTTGTTATCTGGTCTATCTTGACTGATCCACAATCTAATTTTAATTTATTCCTAATCACCAAGCTAATTATATGAGTTCTTTTTATTTCAAGATAAATGTCTAGAGATGGTTGTCATAAGGTCTGTATAAGTGCATTAAACTGCATATTTTAGTCGTACCCACTATTCTAAACTGTATTTCCATTTTAACTGTGAATAATGCAGCTATTTTCTTTGGACTAGTAGGCTAAATTAAGGAAAACTGACATCATACACTAAGTTTAATACTCATCAAAATGAAATTTTCCATGTCACTTTAGATGGCATTACTGATAAGGAATGAAGGCTGGGAACTTGATTTAATTTCATTGAACTTACCGCTGAGAGAATTATATAGCTCTAATCTTTCCACCCCTGTTCCAGTGTCCTAGTCTACCACCTGCAGCATCATAAACAGAGGAATCTTGGTGAATGGGAGCCATCTGCAACATAACTCATCTCTTCAAAGGGCAGCTGGATTCAAGTGCTATCATGTCTTCCAATGTGCAGTATATTTAAGTTATTGTTTTTAAATAATCCTCTGTTTTCTCTTTTGTACATTGGCAAAGACTTTAAATAACTGATGTCAAAATCACTTGGTTCTTCTGCTTATTGAATTTCCAGAGACGTTAAATATGAAAATCTGCATCTATGGTGCAGTGTTTGTATGTGAAATAAGGTAATTCAATCATGCTTCTGTATAAACAGCAATGGTCCATTTATGACAACAATTCTGAATACATTATACAAAAATTAACTTCAATATTTTTGGTATTATACTTAGCTCCTCAAGGATAAACAAAACGTCATGCCACTGATGCTGATGCCCTAATTCTTACTTTACCTGGTGTGCATAAAAAGTATACACTTAGTAGGGGAGCACAAACAGTGGTAATGGTACAAAGATTTCTTATTTCAATATTTACCTTTTGTGGATAGATTTAGGAATTTTCCCTTCCTTTTAAATGAGAAGCAAAGGTAAGCTGGCTACAGTAGGGTAATACAAACGTTAAAATTATTGTGAATGCTATGCCATATGGTGCTTAGATAATGGTAGAAATAGGTTTTTGATCAGCAGATACATTCTCATTAGAATCTCACCGTTTTTAGCACAGAACAGATGAATTTTCTTTGGAGCAGTTTGTTCTAAGGATGGCTTTCTTGGCTGTGATAGCAGGTTTTAGAGTTTCATGAATTGTTGCTATGGCAGTATGAATTGAATAAAATGTCTATTGTATTTTCCAAGATGCATGCCTCCTAACATTTAAAGGCATCTTAGTCTATATCACATTTATATAGTCTATATCACAAATTAATGCAAACAGTCAAAGACAAGGCTGACTTCTTTTAAGGTCATTCATATACATCTTCACATTACCTTTGTGTATGGTGAGAGATAACCTCCACATTTTCAGGTTATTAATGATTCTTACGGCTGAGGCCTGGGAAGAAGAATGATGCTAGTCAGTGCCTCATCATAACCATGTAATGATTTACAGGTCTACACTGACTATTAGACCTTAGAAGTAAGATTAATATGAGAAAAATAATGTAAAGAATAATGAAATAAGTTTAGATACATAGTTGACTAGAATCTCATGCAAATTTGCAAATATAAAATAGAACTCTGTTTGTCTGTATTGTTTGATTTTAATTCTTTACTTTTTATGTAAATAAACAGAACTAATTTTATAATAGCTTTGATTGAACTAAGCAGTTATTAACATAAATAGAAAAGAAGAACATTTAAATGGCTATGCTAAGAGAATAGAGAAGCTTCATTACTGAAAGTTTGATAATGATTTTTTTTAAACTTCTAATCCTTAGTTATAATCCCATGTTTGTTTGTTTTAAGTGACTCTAAGTTTAAGATAACCCTGTTACAGAGCATATTTAAGTCTGCTGAAATATAAATGTGTTCTTTTTTATTCCATTAGATACAAACTCATCATAGAGAAAAGGAACAGATGCTTTCAACCTGGTATGTTTAAGTCACATTCTGCCTTTGTAATTTGGAAGTTGTGTAACTGTCCAGTGCCTCAGTTTCCTACAACATAAAATGGTGATTATAACAGCATCTACCTTTGGAAGTTTCCTTCAGGATTACATTGAACACTTACATTAGGGCCTAACATATAATTAGCACTGAGCTTTTGCTCATTGTTTTTATTGTAGTATTATGTTATATCATAGGACAAGGCATAATTAGTATATTGTATCATTCATACCTAATTGTTATTAGATTGCATCATAAACCAGTATTGGCCTATGAAACTTAGTAAATTTCCTTCAAATGCTCATATTACCGCTATTCATAACATGACAAATTTGTCAAACTCCTCCATTTCCCTAGTCGACTCATTCTTCCACTCTCTTAGATAACTTTTTGAGATGACAATTCCACACCTCCTTTTTTCTTAACTCTCAAACCCTTCCTCCAACTTAACTCTCATCTTATGACCTGGCTTCCTATTTAACTGAGAAAACTGAGAGGATAGGAAGAGGGTATCCTCATCTTCATCTCCCCAAGAACCACAAGCTAGCCTGGCAAATGTTCTTTTCTGTAGCATCAGATGAATCCCTTTCCGCTTAATCATTTCTATTATCATGTAGTACTATTTTTAAAAAAAAGTTGTTTACATTTTCATCTAGAAAGATCCTTAATCTCTTTCCTTTAGAAAAGAGTTCTTCTAAAGATCTTACATTTATGGTTTTCTGCAATCACTCTGCTCTCATTCTTTCTTGAACCCCTGACAAAAAGGATTTTTTGCCTCTATGGCACAACTAAAGCAACTATTGTTATTGTTAATAATGACATCAATGATGCTAAATCTGATTTTCATTTCAAGGTTCTCATTTGAAATGTCAACAAAATTGGAAATAGTTAATAAATCCTTTTTTCTTGAAATGCTTCCTAGTTTTTCTATGTCCCTACCACTTCCTTCTTTTAACTCTTTCTTGTTCAACTTCCAAAATTATAAATATTGTAAAACATTTCTGTCCTTCTTTTCTTCTCTGTCTCCACCTGCTCCCTGAATGATTTTATCTAGCCTTTTGGCTTGAAATTATAATATGTGGTAGGACTTAAATATATACCACTCATCTTGACCTTCACCAACAACTGCTTACTCAGCAGTACAACTTGGATGGCAGAGGGAATCTCAATCCTCTACCTGTCCTCCTCTGTACTGCTTTCTATTTACACATCCAGTTTCTGTGTATGCCCTGAAACCAGCTTGCTCACAACAGAATGTTTTGCTGTAAGAATACGTATTTGCCAATTAGCTTTGGCATGTATATAAAGCCCTTTTGTCTAATGTGGGGAGGCCAGAAATTAGTTCATTAAATAAAATCAGGTACATAAAAATATTGGTGGGTTATGATTTTAACAAGTATTATATGACAGAGTAATGCATATTTGGTTTGTTTCATAGTTGTTAGCAACAGTACTTCTCCCTTTTCCAGAATTTGCAGAATAATTTCATTCCTTTTCACACACTTAAGATACTTTGTTTCATGTCTCATAGCCCTCTAGTATTTGAGTTCCTGTACTAATTCAGGAATCTCACCTCAGACCTTAATCTAACCAAACAAAGCAAAGTGAAAACGGCCATCCCACCAACCAAATTCCCTTTATTGTAAAAATTCCCTTTACCACCAAGTCTGAATTTTTATTTTTAATTCATTTCCACCTAGAAGACTCTCTTTAGGTCTTCTCTTTTAACCAGTGTGGTTATATAACTTGTATCCAGACTCTGTGATAGCCAGTGTCCAAAGTTGAATCCTCAATGAAAAACAGTTTTCATGCCCTGTGTAGTTTTTTTTCCCCCTTCAAATGGGGATATCCTTATGACTCGATTTTGACCATTAATATATGGAAGAAATGATGCTTGTTCATAAGAACCCTTACGCTTCCACCTGGGGCTCTTGGAACACTCACATTTGGAATTCTCTTTTAGCACCGAGCTGGCATGCTTTAAGAAACCTGGCCATATGGCGAAAAGACTTGTAGGTTCTCCAGTTAACAGCCCAATTTGAGCAACTAGTCAATAGCCAATATCAACAATCAACCATGTGAATAAGCTATCCGAATCCAACTGAGTCTTCATATTGTAGTCTCAGCTACAATTTGACTGCAATTGAATGAGAGACCTCTTCCAGGAATCCAGCTGAACCCAGTCAATCACAAAACCCTGAAAAATAATAATAATTATTTGTTGAAGGATTTAGGGTGGTTGCTATCAAACAATTATTGTTCGTGACATTGGGATAGGTTTGAGATAATAGGTAATACTAAATTAATAAAATGTACACAATTTAAAATGCTTAATTGTTGATTTTTAAAAACTGGCTTATCAGTATACTTATAAACTACTTCTAATAAAACTATTTTCAATTTTTTTCTAAAACATTTGAAAGTACATATATCATCATAAATTTAAACAAAATATGAAACCTAATTTATATTGGTTATCTAAATATTAAAAATAATAGAAGCCAAAAAATATTCTCAATGTACATATATTAATTATATATTAACATTACATATCAATTTGTTTTCTAAACTGCATTTTTCTCTAATATTGAGTTACTTGTATTTATCTGGTGAAATATTATTTTCAGTTTTATTATTTATGTTCATAAAAATTTTTAGTATCTTCCTACAGTTGCACTCTATATTTAGTATGTACATTTGAAATTATTCACCTTTTCCATTGACTACATGAAAACAAATTATGTTAAATGAAAGATATTCCCAATACTTTATTTTGACTGAAATGCTTACATGTATCAATCCAATTATTTTAAAGTTTCATTCTCGTTGCTACTTTCCAGAGTCCCTTTATCTGATAATTATTTTTGTAAGAAAAAACCCATCAAAAAGTTATATTTACTAATATTTATGATTATTTTGACTATTTCATTAAATTTAAATGCAGCAAAAACTTAGAACTCTTTCAATTTTATTCCATATCTGAATAGAGACATTCATTCAATGCAAACAAAAGCTCTATCAAAATTTTCTTTTTACAAACATAAATATTTCAAAGTACAAGCATACAGTTCAAAAATAAATTTTGAATACTGAGTTCTCAATATTGTTCTTCAGTTTTCTGTTTTATATAAATACAATTTAACTTCTTCCTGTTTGCATGCTTTTTTCAATAACTTGATTCGCTAATAGCATTAAAAACTAAAAATTTGAAGTATTACATTCATTAAGTACTTTAAAGATTTTGTTTTTTTTTAATGCAACCAAAGTATTACAAAATAGTTCAATATAGGAAATATAGGAAACGTGTTCTGATTTATGATATATGAAGTACTTCCTTATAGGCTCAACTGTATCTAAAATCAAATTATTACTGAATGACAAAGGAAGTCTATATTACCACCGTGAGATATTTTTTATCCAACATCAGTGTATGAGAAAAATGTGTAGTTAGTTCATCTGAGTATATGTAAAATTAATTTTTGTCAACTATGGCTCCTGTTTAGGTTGTTCAAAATAGTACAGTTTGCTTGAACACACTTTTAAGGTATATGTGTACCACAAGCAATTATGAGGATAATTTTAATTTATAATTTTCTTTAAGTAAAACTTTTTATTTTCACCACACACAAAATTATTTTTTCTAAATGCTGAGTTTTTATCTGAATTTATATAGCCACAACACTATCAGGTATTTCAAAGAAAATTTTCCAAGGCTCAACTTTGATTTCATAAATTGTAAGAAAAAGATCAAACTTTTATTCTGGTTAGCTGGTTTTCTATTCAAAGTAATGACATTGTTTATCAAACTGGAATAATTTAATTGATGCAAAGTTCTGCAAATGGATCCAAGATGTCCCTAGCTATACTTTTTGAATGTACAAGAAAACATAAAATTAAAAACGTGAGTAATTGTGAATAAGTCATTTGCTGTAAATAAAAAGTTACATTACAACCCAGAATTTCATATCCAGCCAAACTAAGCTTCATAATCAAGGAGAAATAAAATCCTTTACAGAAAAGCAAATGCTGAGAGATTTTGTCACCACCAGACCTGCTTTACAAGAGCTCCTGAAGGAAGCACTAAACATGGAAAGGAACAATCGGTACCAGCCACTGCAAAAACATACCAAGTTTTAAAGACCATCAATGCTATGAAGAAACTGCATCAACTTTAAGAAACTATCATCAGAGTTAACAGACAACCTACAGAATGGGAGAAAATTTTTGCAATCTATCCATCTGACAAAGGGCTAATATCCAGAATCTACAAATAACTTAAATTTACAAAGAAAAAAACAAACAACCCCATCAAAAAGTGGGTGAAGGATATGAATAGACACTTCTCAAAACAAGACATTTATGAGGCCAACAAATATATGAAAAAAAGCTCATCATCACTGGTCATCAGTGATGCAAATCAAATCAAAACCACAATGCAAATCAAAACCACAATGAGATACCATCTCACACCAGTTAGAATGGTGATCATTAAAAGTCAGGTAACAACAGATGCTGGAGAGGATGTGGAGAAATAGGAATGCTTTTACACTGTTGGTGGGAGTGTAAATTAGTTCAACCATTGTGGAAGACAGTGTGGTGATTCCTCAAGGAACTAGAAGTGGTAATACCATTTGACCCAGCAATTCCATTACTGGGTATATACCCAAAGGATTATAATCATTCTACTGTAAAGACATATGCACACGTATGTTTATTGTAGCACTATTCACAATAGCAAAGACTCGGAGCCAACCCAAATGCCCATCAGTGATAGAATGGATAAAGAAAATGTGGCACATATACACCATGGAATACTATGCAGCCATAAAAAAGGATGAGTTCATGTCCTTTGCAGGGACATGGATGAAGCTGGAAACCATCATTCTCAGCAAACTAACACAAGAACAGAAAACCAAACACGGCATGTTCTCTCTCATAAGTGGGAGTTGAACAATGAAAACACATGGACACAGGGA
Source organism: Homo sapiens (assembly GCF_000001405.40). Lineage (NCBI taxonomy): Eukaryota > Metazoa > Chordata > Mammalia > Primates > Hominidae > Homo > Homo sapiens. Next base: position 92,030,923 of record NC_000006.12, read on the forward strand.
GGGGAACATCACACACCGGGGCTTGTCAGGGGGTGGGGGGCTACGGGAGGGATAGCATTAGGGGAAATGCCTAATGCAAGTGACTGGCTGATGGGTGCAGCAAACCAACAAGGCATGTGTATACCTATGTAAAAAACCTGCACATTATGCACATGTACCCCAGAACTTAAAGTATAATAAAAAAAAATAAAAAGTTACATTTTTCAGAGTGGTATGCAAGCACAGTCCTCTGCAGTTGCTTGTGATCTGCCATTTTCCAGCATAATCTTCTCAAAATAATTGCTTGTATTTGAAGTTGAGGATAAGGATTTTTCTGCAGGCTAGGTCTTCTGTTTTTCATCTGGTCAGTGATAACATTATGGCACCCATAGTGAATGATAAATGTCAACAGTAGTGAAAGTACACATGCATGTTACCTTCTTGGGATATAGAAATCCAGAACATAATTTTTGTGTGGTTCTGGCATTCACTGAAATAGAATGACTTAGAATAAGGTAACATCTTGAATACATTGAAAAGAACACTCTTGGTCTTGAAGAAATCTCTACAGACATTGGTAGGTGACATCTCTGGGACCAGACACACCTGCTAAGCTGGGCTAGCTCAAGCACAAATCTATGCTCCCCTTAAGCACTCAGCTTTGTCAAGAATAGATTTGTAGAACTTGCTTGGGCAGAACTAATTAAAATAAAAGAAGAAGAAGGATAAAGACATAGAAAAGATTTAAAACAAAGAAAAATTAAAAAACAGAACTCCGTGAGACAATTAAAAAATGGAAAAAGTTATAGAAATTCTGAAATTAAAATAAAAACTGTAGAAACAGTAAAAATTAAGTAAATGTCTCATTAAACATAAACCAGTTCATTGCTACTAAATGATTTTATTGGAAAATAAAAAAATGGGTTGCCATAAAATAGGTAATTGTAGTTTTACACTAAATGATAAAAGCACTCCAGACCTTTCTGTGGACTCAATGACCTCTTTCTCCTGTACACATTTCAGATATATCTGACCTATGTTTTTCTGTGTCCCCCACAGATCATGTAGGCTGATGATCTGGTATCTTTCATGTATCTTTCAGGTAGTGAAGACACTTCTGATCTTCAGAAAGATAGCAGTGTCTAATGCTGTTTTCAGCTCCTTGCACTTAGCACCCAGCACAAGCACCTTGTCTGTGTACACTTGGTTTATCAGCAGGTGCCTTCCAGCTGTCGTCTTGAAAGGGAAAGGATAGGAAAGCTTGGAAAAAGAGAGACAGGTTATTGCTGCTTGTCTTTCTTATTTATCTGCATATTAAAATGAAAAATATGTCCACTGTACATTTGTTTTATTAAATACTAAAGGAGGCTAATGCAGATGCTGAAAATGCAAAGTAGAATTCTATCAAAACCATCTCATCTTATTTTAGAGCAACATTTCATTATACTATTCAGTAAAAAATAAATAAATAAATAATCCAAGACAAATCTAAATCAGGATGCCAAGATAGTCAATATAAATTGAAAATATTTCAGGCCAACTGAGATGGATATATGATCATTCTATTTCTTAGGCAAAAGTCTGCTGCCCTCTTCAATAAATGAACAAAATATTGACATCACTTATAAATCCTTTACTGATTGATTCCATTTAGCTTCAGTTATTCTATTTTCTTCAGATTTGTTTATGTGTTAGTGTGCTTAGTTCTTTGTAGATGGATAATTTGACATCTACTTTGTATATTTTTCTATAGTGTATTCTTAGGTAAATCTTTTCTGTTTGTGTTTGTATGTGTTGTAGTGGTGGATATACCTGTAAAATTAACTGTTTCATTTCCTGGGGACTCGAGATCTACTTGTCTTTTTTAAACAGATTGATTGACATATAATTCACATACCTTACAATTCACCTACTTAAAGTGAACTCAATGTTTTCAGTAAATTCACAGGACTGTGCTATCATCAACATAGTCTAACTTTAGAACATTTTTGACCTCCCTCAAAAGCCCTAAGCAACTGCTAATCTATTTTATGTCACTGTAGAAAGGTTCTTCCCTGTTATAACATACCTTAGTCCTTATTTTTTTTACTTCCAAATATATCCTGTTGTATGCATGTATGAAACTTTATTTATCCATGCATGAGTTGACGAACATTTGACTAATTTCATATAGTTACTTGTATACTTTTTTTTTTTTTTTGGAGATGGAGTCTCGCTCTGTCGCCCAGGCTAGAGTGCAATGGTGCAATCTTGGCTCACTGCAACTTCTGCCTCCTGGGTTCAAGCAATTCTCTGGCTCAGCCTCCTGTGTAGCTGGGATTACAGGAGCCTGCCACCATGCCGGGCTAATTTTTTTGTATTTTTAGTAGAAACGGGGTTTCACCATCTTGGCCAGGATGGTCTTGAACTCCTGACCTCATGATCCACCTGCCTCGGCCTCCTAAAGTGCTGGGATTACCGGCGTGAGCCACCGTGCCCCGCCTTTATTTTTATATGATGTTACTTCACTGTTCATAATTTACTGGTCACAATGAAGTTCTTGTAAAATTTGGGAAAACTAGACCCTTATATGGTCTTTCAAAGTTTTTATATGCTAAATGTAGGATTTTGGTGGCCGCATTTCCCAGCATATAAAGAAAGCTATACCATATTGAAGGTCACTTATATTAATATAGAGGAAAGAGATAAAAAATAGAATTCAAATTTTAGAGGTATATTCTTTACTGGTTCCAGTGTTGAGAAGCCTAGCTACACCTTGCCTTGTTTGTAGTTCTGTTGTCCATCTCTTCTTTGGATTCTTCTACCCAATGCAGTCCTCATTCTTCAACCAAAAGAATAATTTTTGGGGTAAATTTCTCCTAGGGAAATGAATAAAATAATGTCTCAGAACAATCATCTCTATGTGGATTAATAGGAGATTCAGTGAACCACTTCCTATTGCCCTAAATTGGCCACTTTGATAGAATCTTGGGGAGAGGTAACCCTAAGAGTATCCTAAAGAAAGCAAAAAAAAAAAAATGGTACCAGGCATCTCAGGATTTTATTAAGTTTTGCAAATACACACACAGATGCACACACCCACCCCCAACAATAAGCAACAGAACAATACTTCTTCCAACTATTAACTTCCCAGTTAGTATAATAAGATGGAAGTATGAATTTAGGACAGTAATAAACAAAGGCTTTAAATTAGGACATGTTGTCCATTAGTGAGTGTTGTGGCTTTATCCTCCTTTTGTTATGATAAACTCCCTTCTCTCTTCAATGGCATATACATGGAGGGAACCTGCAGGGATACCAGCAAGACTCACATATGAATCTGCTTAAGAGCCAGCATTAGGATGCTGGTGATCTGGTTGGCGGTGGTGTGGAAATCACTGGGTGATCATTCTTTTTTTTTTTCTTTTTTTTTTTTTTTGAGATGGAGTCTCGCTCTGTTGCCCAGGCTGGAGTGCAGTAGTGTGATGTTGGTTCACTGCAGCCTCCATCTCCCGGGTTCAAGAAATTCTTCTGCCTCAGCCGCCTCCTGAATAGCTGGGACTACAGGTGTGTGCTGCCTTGCCCAGCTTATTTTTGTATTTTTAGTAGAGACGGGGTTTCACCATGTTGGCCAGGATGCCCTTGATCTCCCGACCTCGTGATCTGCCCACCTTGGCCTCCAACAGTGCTGGGAGTACAGGCGTGAGCCACCGCACCTGGCCTTGGGTCATCATTCTTGAGAAGAAAAGCAGTGACAGTTAAGGAGGAAGTCTTGCAGCAGAAAGACATTTTGTCTTTCCAATTCCTGAGTCTTCACTCGCAAAAGGAAAAAGATGGGATGCCCCACTAGAGGGAGGAGAGGAGAAGCAGAAGAGCAGGCCCAAATCCCTCTGGGTCCATCACTGAGGGAAGGGAAGGAGAAGAGCAAGACATTGGAAGAGCAACTGAATTTTTATCCTAGATGGAATTGTTATACTTAAAAGTGACCAAAGAATTTTAAAAAACTAAAATCATTTTAAGTTTAGATTGTTCAATGAACTAGTTACATATGCAGCATTTTTTCCAACATTCACAGTAATGGCAGAGATAAAACATGTTGGAGTGTGTGTGTGTGTGTGTGTATTTCTGGAGAGGAGGGGGACAGCTTTCACAAAAATGTGGAAGATCATAAGCTTTGAGATCAAATAGAGACCAGAGACAATCTATTCCAAAGACTCAAAAGAGGTAATGAGAAAGCAAACTCAGATAACATATCCTGCCAAGTGCACATACCCTTCTGAAGGTCATGGGTGGCCTTTCCCATAAAGATTCAGAGCGCATGCTGCTTCATGGCTTCAAACATTTTCCCCTTGTTATTTGGTTTTCTTAACATCATCCATCATCTGAAAAGCCCCTCAAAACACTGAAATCATAACTTTTCCAGGTTTAGAATGAATCTTAATTTGTTTCCCCATGCCTTGCTAGGAAAATGGCTGGGTAGTGGGTGACAACTATCAGCTATTTTCAGCATTAACAGACCTTACAGGTACTGAATAATTATGGCTGCATGTTTTGAATGTTAACATTTTCACATGAACAGGGAGTGCCATTTGGCCTGCAATGCTTTGCTTGAATATCTTACTTTGTAGGTCTTTGGATCTTTCATCCAGCAGGATTTTTATTCTTCTTTAGTCACTTGTTCAGGGTGGGCCTTGTGATTACCTTATATTCTCCTGTTGGCATCCAAGCAAGCTCTTGAGTAGATGTGGGGTTGGGGACATAAAAGAGAATGCAGTCCTCAGAAGGTTATACCAGATTTTCATAAAGACTTGTAAATGTAAAAGAGCTGTTAAATTAGGTATGTGTAATGTTGAGAAGAAATACCTAAACTTTTCATTGTTCACATAGTTTTAGATGCATTTTTAAATAATATACAGGATATTTTTGTCATTTTAAATACTGCCTTTAACCAGCATTGTCTTATAAAAGGCCACATTTTAACATACAAGAGCAGCATCTTTATTACTACACTATACAATATATAATTAACTCATAAATGATTCAGCTTCATTAGCATAAAAAAGAATTATAGCACAAGCTTTTGTAAGCATGTGTTAAGGTTATTGTCGTTGCTATGGCAGGCTTCATGATACTCTGATACTCTTAGGAGCCTTCCTGTCTTTAGCTCTGAGAGGTTATCTATTAGATTCTAAATCAGAGGGTGTTTGTTCTTAAAATCCCATTATGGTTGTTATTATTAGAAAGGCAACAAAGTAAAAGACAGCACATGCTCTAGATAAGACATACCTATAGTCAGTCCTCAGACTCTCCAGTCAGCAAAAGTTCGTCAAAGGATGATGAGAAAAAGAATAAAGAGAAAGAATACTATAGGAGGAAAAAAGAGTATAAGAGGAAGGTAGCTGCAAAAAGTAGAGGCAAGGAGGAGAAAAAGGAGCAAGTAGAATGAGGAGAGGAGCTGGTAGGATGAGCAGGATTGAGTTTGAGAGAAGAGAGGGAAAGGAGGAGAGAAGTAGGAATAAGAGAACAGAAGATGAAGACAGGGAGGAAATAATTGAGTGGTGCACACAGTGCACAGCACAGGAGAGTCTCCCGGGAACAGCTCAGGATTCTTGAACAGGTCTTACTGCTTCCAAAACTGTCTTCTCATGTGGGTCAAGATTTTAGAAACAGGAAATATGAAGCCTTTTGAAAGGTTCACTATACATGTTATTTGGATTGAAAAACATGATTTTTATTGTCTAGTATTTTAAAACTTTCAACTGGCAAAATGTTTGAACATTTTTTACATTTTAAAATTTGTAATGTGCATTTTGGGACTTTATATTTCCTAAAAATACATGGAATTCATTTTTTAAAAGAAATGAGATCAGAGCAACTCTCTTTTCCACGTTAACTGTATTTCATTTACTCTTTTCATTTATTGAATATTCTTCTAACAACATTTTAACTGGTGCAAAGTAGTTCAGTGTACTAGAATTCTGTGAACCATTGTTTATTTATTCCATTCCCATGAGGGGGTTTTTTAAGGACACATTTGATATTTTCAGTTTGCTTTCTGCATTGTAAACTGAAGAGTACTAGAAAATCTTTATATATACATTTGTGTGCATATTATTTATTGTTTCCTTAGCATCCATTACATAAAGATAATTCAAATTAATGAGTTTGTGAATTTTCTGTTTTTTTATTACTCATTATCAAATTGTTCCTCAAAAAGTTATTGATTGACATCCTTCTAGCATTACATGAATAGCACCTAGTTTAGAATGTTTCTACATTTCTCAATGATTAGTGAAAATGTGGAATTATTCTACTTATCTGAATGATATGCAATTGAAAAAAATGTTTTGAAGATTAAAGGGGGCTATAATAATCTTAATAAGAACAAAGAATAAGAAATTATCTCTACCAGTGGTTTTAAAAAATCCTTAAATAATGTTCTAAAGACAGTATAAATGTTTGGATGGGAAGAACTGGTTATTAATACTAAAGTCAGGCCTATAGACTTAAAAATCCACTGCTATTTGACTAAAGACCTTACTTTTTCTTTTCTTCCCATCTCTGGCTGCACGTTATAAACAAATTACTTATGGAGTTATATAAATGATCATCTTCTGCCAAAATTATCCAAATCAGCTCTTTAATATACTTTGCTGTATATTCTGTGCATACCAGCTTTAGTTTACATAAGGTACATTTTAAGCTTTTTCCAGTGTAGAAGAGTTTGTCTATTTGCATTCAAATGTGACTCATAAATTATTTTGATAACTTACTATAATAAATACTGAAACTATAATAAGTTCTTAAGTATTAGAACAATTAAAACATAGTCATATCAATTATATTTTAAGGTTATAAAACGGTAACTCCAACTATAATCATTTCAATTGATTTCAGAGAGTGCCCTTCACCGAAACCATACACAGAAAAGGAGAATCTGAACTTATATAACTGATAAAATAAAATTATCATTTATGAAGGAATTTAAAAATTGTTACTGATTCCTTAAAATCCATTCTAAAAACTGATTGACAGTTATAAATAAATATAGTGTTTTTCAATAGCTTCAACTTTTGGCCATCTCAAAAAGCTTTATTAAATAATTTTAATAGATAATTTGTTTCACCGTAAATCAGCTTTTTTTTTTCTCTCTCTCTTTCGGACTTTCCTTAGTCTTTTCCTTTTATCTATTTCTCAACATTACCGCCCTCTGCACCCCTGCTCCCTGAGCAACTTAATACTCAAAACTAAAATTATTATTTTGCCTCTAATAAATCATGTCTCAAAATGAAATTTACCCTGGAAAATAAATCTGGATTTAGAAAGCACACATTCTATGGAGAGGAAGAAAATAAAGATCTAAATTGAAAATGAGGATGGTTTTATAATCAGTTAGCTGAAAATAGGAGAACTGCCCAAGTGAAAATTATGTATCTTTTCTACTGAGAGAATATTCGAAGCTGATAATATATTTTAGGTAGAATGATTTAAGGTAATTGCAGCAGTCAAATTTAATGTAAAGGAGAGATGCCAAAAGTAAGAAGAAATCTGAGGGTTGTTCCTAATTAGAGAGCAAGATGGATTTGAGTTCTTTTTTGTGGTGGATGGGATTCCTCCCTTTCCACATTATTTAGACATGTGCATTAGTCTTTATAATTTTTTAAATCATTTAAATATTATTTAACTATTATCACTTACTTGTAATCATTTTGTGTTTTAATAAATGGCTAGAATTTTGCAGTTTATGAGAACTAAATTTTGATTATATAAAAAATACATCTTCATTTGTAAGGCATTTCATGTGAGAAAAAAATTAAGTTTCTCCTGATCTATATCTAGGCGTATATTTTTTCTCTTTGTACATAGATAAAATTCTCTAAGGCACTCATGAATATTTTGGTGGCTCCCATGGGGGTCTGACATTTCAATATTTCCTGCCACGCTTGAGAAGGAAGCATTTCAAGAAATTAAAGGCACTGATAAGCAAACCCTTCATTAATAATACAGACAATTAAGTTTTCAGCTCCTGTACTTAAAATTTCCCTATTTTATCTAAAATTAATTTGCAGGTACCATGAACCTTTTTGAAGTCTAAAAAAAAAGAGAGATGAAGTTAAGGGCAAGATTTTTTTAAAAAATGGCTTCATCTACAGTACATCTCTACTCTACAGATCATTTTCTTCTTTATTAAATAATTAATGCCAGCTACACCAGCATGTTTAAATCCTCAACAGATAAGAAATAATTAAGTTAACACCACTCAAAATGATATGTAACATCTCAATCAGTGAGAATTTTTAAGTGGTAACAACGAGAATAAAATTATTGGAAGCTGCACTGTAGGATTTTTTTTTCAGTGTCAAAGGCGCACTCACACAGATGCAAGAAACACCACAATTTAGTGAAGTTGTTGTATCTTCTGCTAAAATGATAATGTTGCTGCCAGCAATCTAATGAATAGTCAGTGGCACACAGATGCTACTCTCCTGGCTTTTGCAGTTAGTTCTAAATTTGAAAATTAAAATATGTCTTTGGATGTTCAGCCCCTTCATTGCCCCCCTTTACCATTCCTACCTATACTAAATTGCTTGAAACAAAGAGCTTTAATAATCCCAACCCTCCCTTTCAAGCTTAAGGAGCTGTCAATAGCCGTGAACAGTAGAAATGTGTGTGTGTCTGTGAGCACATGCACACACACACACATGCATGCATGAGTGTGTCTTTGTGGGTGGGTCTCTTTCTTTTCTCACTCAATTTGCTGAAGCAGCTATATTCCACTCTAGACCTCTGGAAAACTATCCATTTGCATTTGCCTGTGAACGGCTACATGCCATAGGTAGTGATCAGTTAAAGTAAAGAAAATACACCGTAAAAAGTGGCTTCCAGCAAACACACTCCTTGCATTTCTTTTGACAGCTACCTGACATTTAGTTGACCTAGACAAATTTGCATATTTTAATTTGATCCCTCCCCACTTCATTTCATTTGCCTTATCTGAGAAATGAGAAAAATAACATGAAACACAAAAGTCCACTAAAAACAACAGCAGAGAGCAATGATTTCCTCTTTTAGCTGCAATTGTCTTCATCGCCCAATACTTCTCATCAACATCATCATGTTGACATTTCATGAATGCTTATTGCACATCAGGTGGACCATTGAATTGTTTCCAAATAATTATGGTTCTTTGGCTTTCCAGCAAAGGAAGTCTAGAAATTCCACCTTTCCAGACCAGTGGTTGAATGTCTAGGATGACAAGTAATCTGGTTATTCCCTTCTGTTCCTAGGAAAAGGCCTAAAAGTGCACATTAACCCAAAGTCACCACACTGCAGTATAATCATTGTCTGGAGCTGTTCAACTATTCCCAAGCCAAACTCCCAGTCTAAACTGAGTGACCCAAGAAATACTGTGGGCAATTGCAAAGAGTAGGCTAATAGGTGAGTGGCAGCAAATCTCTACTGTCTCAGTTTGAGGGCACCAATGAGGTGAAGGGACTGAGGCCTTCATGACTTGCTGACAGCAGGGCTCTGCTGACAGGCTTGTGATGTGGATCCACCCAAATGTGATTGGGTCAATCAGAGCAGCAGGGAGAGAGAGTCACAGAAAAGGTAGGCACATTTCTGCTGTGTTCCCTCACTGCTTCTTCCAGGACTCTAACCCCTCAACTTATGACTTAACACTATCAAAGCAAGTCAGGCTGAGGATAGACTCCACAAGAGCACTGTTTTCCAATTGTTCCATTTATTTTGGTCCCCATGACAAAATCCTTAAGAACACTTAATTTAGGCTGTATGGTAGTATTGTTCATGGTTAATGGCTTATTTTCCCAAAATAACCACAAGGCACTCTACACCACAAACAGCTTATGTTCCAAATGGATGCTATTTGTAGAGTAGTGTTTATTTACTCATCCCTGCTGGATGCTGACTATAGCCTCATGAGTACCCCATACTAACCTATCATTGCACTTACTACATAATATTGAATGTGTCTTCTCCTTTATAGCAGAAATTCTGTCTCAGTCATCTTCTATCCCCGTTCCTAGCACAAAGTCTGGCACAGACATGTACTCATCAAATATGTTTTTAAATTAACTGAACTGAGGCAATGTATCTTATTCATTTATTCATGCATGTAACAGTTTTTTTTCTGTAAGTAGTAGTTTGATCCATTAATTGTGGCACCTATAGTTAAAGATAGCCCAACTCTTTTCCTGAATACCTCTGAGGAACTAAACAGCATGAAATCATTACCTAACAAGTGTTCAAAAACTATCTTGATATGTAGTTTTTAAATTTTTATTTGTATAAACACTGACAGTCCTATGTATATAATAGGTTTTTAGAATTAGAGGAAGTAAAATGTATTAGTCAGGGTTTTCCAGAGAAACAGAACCAATAGGATTTGCATATGTGCTTGAGTGTGAGTGTGTCTACTCACTCAGCTATGGAGGCTTGGCAAGTCCAAAAATCAGCAGGGTCCAATATGGACCCAGGGAAGTTGATGTTGTAGTTCAAACCTGAAGATAGTCTGGAGGCAGGATTTTATCTTCTTTAGGGAACTTCAGTCTGTTTTCTCTTAAGGTCTCAACTGATGAGACAAGTTCCACCCACATTGTGGAGGACAATCTGCTTTACTCAAAGTCTATTGACTTTCATGTTGATATCACCTAAAAATCACCCTCCCAGCAACGTGCAAACTGGTGTTTGACCAATATCTAGGTTCCTGGTCTCACCAAGCTCGCACACAATATTAAGCATCACACAAATTATTACAATTGAAATTTCTGAAATTTCTTTTCCAGTGATCTCAGTTTAGTGAAGAAAATGCTGGAAATAACTGATAAAATACTCACAAAATAAAGATTAGGCTTGCCAGCTTAGACTAACTGAAACTTTGTCAACATGTAGTAAGTTTTTCTGACCATGAATTTAAATTTGTCAATTTAGGAATGATTGCAGTTTGCATGCTTTAGCAAAGTATTATTCAAAAAGTCTTCAATCCAGTATTCTAATGGCTGTCATATTTGTTGCATGTCCCCTAAACTCCCCGGAGCTAAAGATCCACAGGAAAGCTTTGTAAAAATCTTGGCCCATCCATTGAAATTCAAAACAAACATTAAGATTCTTCTCAAATGCCATTTCTCAGAAGTCTTCCAGGATAACTAATTTCCTGTCTTCATCTATGCTTCCATAGTTTATGACATATACATTTATTTAAATAATCTCATTTTATTTAAATTATTACTATGTAAGTCTATATAAGATTGCGAGCTATACAATTTGACTAGGCAAGGTACTAGTTCCTTGAGTTTCTAAGTGTGGTCCCCAAATCAGCAGCATCAACATCAGCTGGGAACTTGTCAGGTATGTAGAATCACAGGCTCATCTCTGACCTTCTGAAAAATTCTGAGTATTTTAACAAAATACTACAGGTGATTTTATATTAAAATTTGATAAGCACTGTTCTAGATGTTGGTATTAACAGACATGACTAAGGCAAGATTTTCCGATTAAAGAAACTCATGTTCTTGTAAGGAAATCATTATCAATTTCTAGAACAGGCTGTGTTTCCTTTCAGATCATTTGTCAAATCTATTCCACATGCCAAGGATAGGGCTTTTCACCAAATTCCTGAGCTCCTCATGTTTCCCAGGTCACAGGTTAGATGTCAATGCTACATGCAATTCAAAATGAAATATATACTAAGCCATAAAACAAGAGAAATAAATTTAACTAAATTTTTTGTACATCTACACCACTAACACTGCCTAATCAAGTATTATAAAATTGAGTCAAAGTGTTTGTGTGTTATTGTTTTGTTTTATTTTCCCATGTCTGTGTCCATTGCCTAATCACAGGGTGAGGTCTGTCTATTGGAAAGCCATCACTTCCTCAAACATAAGATTGGTTTGTGTCCTTTTTTCCTACTGCCATGAAATTCTAATGAGGACATTACATGTCATTTTTCTGTTTGCTTTTTTAGTTTACCTAGTCTCAGTATGAGAGTAAGTATCATTGTCTACCTCACAATATTACCTTTAGTGTCTTATTCAGAACCTGGGGCCTGGCAAATCCTCAATAAATATTTGTTGATTTTTTTGAAGGAGTGATGAATGCAATTAGATAAGTCACAGTCACACATGTTGGGAAGAAAAGGGCAGATAGAAAGAGAAATTTGAAAAAAAATACTAATTATCAAAGTAGGAGTCCTTTGAGGCTAAGTTGCTTTTTTCCTCTCAATTCTAAAAATTGTAAGTGAGAGTTTATTTAATATTTATTATTGTAGGGACCATAAATTTTACCTTTAATATTTGAAATTAAATTCACTCTCCTCACCACCACCCCTGAGATTGTAATTATCAGAAAGTAGGCACTGAACAGAAGTGAAGATGATTAGAAAAATAATTTGTTCCTAATGAAATCAGTGGAATGCCACCCTGACCCTATTCAGTTATTTCAGGTACTCAAGTGGCCAACTAAAATTAAAATTTTAAATCCTTAATCTCATGACTAAATCCCTTCCCCCATCCCTATTGAAGGAAATTCTTGACCAAGGTTAAAGAAATGCCTCCTTAAATTTGATCAAATATTTCCATTTTAACTTTAAGAAACATTTGCAGAGTTTGATATTTCTCTCAGGTGTTTGCAGTTGTTCTAGTTTTAATATCATTTTTCTTAATGTGCTAGCTATTATTTTTACATAAATAGTTTAGCAGCAGGCTATAGATTAAATCCTGAAGTACACTGTATTCTTAGTATTTCTGAAAATAAATAAAAGCACACAGAAGAAACATTTATGAAAAATGACACATTTTCTATATATTCAGCTGAAAAAACAGAAGTTTATTAAAGAAAACAAGAGATGATTTTTAACGGTGGAAGATAATGCCCCAAATAAACATGAATAGGATCAGTTCTTTGAAAAATCTCTGGATCTTGTTATGGTCAGTTTCAATGGTTCTGATGACAACTTTAATGATGGATTTAGAAAGGCTTGGGCTACGTTTGTACAAAACTAAGAGTAAGCAGCTGGGAACAGCTGAGGGGACATTCGTATGACAACTGGCATTGGGGAACGAGTGAGTAATGGCCACAAATCTGTAGGCTTGTAGGGCATGACCAATTTCAGTAAACCACTTGAGTCAGCTCTGTTCAGCATCTATCTCTAGGCACTACAGAGATGCCTATCATTACTGCTCCTTAGTGCTCTGGTAAAGATATTAGAAAGATTGGCAAATTACCTTGACCTAATTAACTGAAGTTCAAACTGGGGCAGTATTTTATGTACACTAAATCATTATGAACTTGGGTGTGGCTATCTTCAGCATATAGTGATGTCTTGTAATTTTGCACACATGTAGCACTCATATTGGCAAAGTATTGAAAAATATTTAAATTAATCTTTCCTACTATGGTTTAATAATTTGTAATATTCCTGTAGTAAAGATGAAGGAACTGAGGATGAATAAATTAAATTCTCAGTCTAATTATACTCAAATATAAGAAGGACATATGTGGTAGAATCTAACATAACAATAAAGGATCATGAAGTTTTCATGGCCAGCACTACCTGATATCATTTCTCATGCATAACTGTGACTCACTTGTTGATAATTCTCACAGTGACAGAAGAAGCATCATCCTCCTGGTAGTATTACTGGGTAGTATTACCAGATGATTCTGATACTTTCACTCATATCTAGAATCTTTCTGACCTGAAAGAATGACATTCATAAATTTCAGGAGGGCCTGAAATTAAATCTGGTAATTATTTATTCTAAAACATTTGCTACATTTTGTTTTCACATTTTGCTACATTTTGTTTGTTTTGCCACATTTCATTTTCAATAATTTGTGGGAATTATTTATTCCAAAATACTGCTATATTTTGTTTTGCTACATTTCGTTTTGTTTGTAGCTATATTTTGCTACTTTTTAAATTGAAAATGTCATTTTCAATAAAGTGACATTTTTCAGAATTGAATGCCATTGATTTGTGTTTGCAGTTGAATAAAGAAATACTCAATTATCCTTAGCACCTATTATATAAGAATCACAAAGTACAAATTTTCACCCATTAGACCATGCCAGTAATTCTCAATATTTTATCATATTGTATTCTTATAAGACTTTCCATGGCTCTCCATTTGGAGTGAAACTCACTCAATTTCTTAAGTCCCAGATGTTTTCTAGCTGCCAACAGAGGATATGAAAAGTACCCTATATTGATTTAAATACTTTTAAGGTTCTGGAAGAATATAATTGTGCTTGTCTGAAACAAATATCTTTCTTTATATGCCAATCATGAACCTCGCCATCTTCAGAAACTAGATCTAAACTCACCTTTCTTAGAATGTCATTCCTGATGACTAATAGTTCCAAATTGTTCTGTTCACTCCTTGTTCAGTGACCTTTACCATAGACACGTCACAGACATTTGTGTTTCTGTAGCTCTTTTCATTCTAGGCACTGATTTGAGTCCCTTGTGTAATTCTTACAAAATAATGAATATAGCAGTACAATTATGAATATAGTACTACAATTATGAATAATTAATGAATATAGTACTACAATTTTCACCCGTTAGCAGATGAGAAAGCTGTACCCAAGAGATATTAAGTAGTGTGACAATAAACAGACATATTAGTGAGAGATAGAATCAGGATTTGAACCCAGACTAGAAAATTTCAGTGGTCATGCTCTTAACCAGCATGCAGTATTGTCTCTCAGGAAGAGAGTGATTTATAATTCATTTTATTCCCCACTGAGACAGAGATATTCTTTTTTACTAAAATTAATAAATCTACATGTTTCATATTGACAGATGCAGGAGGAAGATAAGGGATCCTACCCAGGGCCTTGCCTGGGCATGGCTGGACTGGGGGCCCACCTGTGCACTGGGAGAATGGGGTGGAGCCACCGGGAATTCACACCTTATGCAGGGGGAAGGAGCCTGGCCTCTTCAGCTCCTGTGTGGCGGCCTGGTATTCAGTCTGTGAGGTGGGAGCCTGTGGGCAGGACCCCTTTTTTCACTGAGAGCTTTCATTTAATAAATTCCATTATCCTCACCTTTCAATGTGTCTATGTGCCTAATTTTTCCTGGTACTGTGACAAGAACCTTGACTTTAGCTGAACTAAGGAGCAAAAAGTCCTGCCTCAATATATGTCATTCGGGTATTTAGTCCTGTAGAACAACATTAATATGCATTTTTCATAAGATTTTATAATTTGATTCTGATAACTTGTGAAACTTGGTAATTCTCAAGGTCACGCTATACTTCAATTCTGTCCTTCAAGGTGCTAAATAACCCTTCCCAATCTGATGTTATTAACTAAGTAAATGAGCATGTTTTGAGATGATTGATGGAATTATTAAATAGCACTCATCCTAGGACTAACCCCATTAGTCATGTTTCCCAACTTTGATATTGAACTATTTGGACTACCACTGTGAAACAAATTATACACCTATGTGGTAGTAATATGGTAAGTATCTCAGCTTCTCCAATCCTGTCTGGAAGTAAGGGGGGCATTAAAAAACATAGTTCAAAATTCAAAAATGTTCTTAATCACTTTTATTAATTGATGAGATGGTCAGATTAAGCAAAAACCTTCCTAAGTTAAGAGAATAATTAACTACTTAATTAAAATATTTACTAATTTTTAAACTCTTCATAATTTTTAATTTTAATATGGAAGAAAAATTCATCTGATAGCATTTGTTTCCTCATGAAATAATTCTTATTATTTTACAATGTCTATTGGTGATATTGAGATTTATGTACTCAAAAACAAAACAAGAGCTCTTCAAATGTCAATTTTTTCAGTTAAAAATGTATATGTAGAATTTGACATTTTTTTCTGAAATTTCTTTTGCATTAACTTCAAAATATAATTGCAATACATTTTAAGTCTGTAAAATAAAGTTTTTAAAAATTCACACACTTACCTGCCAAGAGTACACACGTTTTTCTTATATATGAAGATAGTCACAGAACTCCGTTTTATGAAGAAGCATCAAATCCCCTTGACTGTGTTGCTTTTATGTTTTTATTTGTTTTATGTTTAGCTTGCTTCCATCTATTTTTTTGATAAGAATTTGTTGCTACATTCTTCTCCAAAACTGATTGGATCCCATTGCACTTGATGATTGTGCAACCTAATTAAATAAATAATTAAAAGGCTATTTTACCCTTTACATTTCCTTACAACTTTTCGCTGTGATACTCTGGTGAGGGTTTGTCTGAAATGATAGCTCTCCAAATCAACATGTAATATCCTGTTCCCGATCTTTAATAAATTGTATCTAAATTTCACCTTGCTACCTACCACTGCAATTAATTTAACTTTCAGTTCAATCTGGGGCTACTGCTTTTGTTTTCTAGATGGTATAGAACAAAGGTTGAATTGGGAGCTCTACACTACACCCAATTTAGAATTTAATTAACCACTAAAGTTAAAAGCTAGGGCAGTCCCCAATAAGCTGACAGTAAAAGTCATGGCTGCCCTAAACCTGATAAGAAAGAAACTGTGAGTTTTAAATTGAGATCACTACCAGCATAGCGTGGGTTTCGGCAGTGACAAACTGTAGTTACAGATTCCAACAGCCCCTGATGAAAAGCAGTTCTCATTCCCTAATGCTTTATGGGAGAGCTGCAGCTTCTTGGAATATTTTTCAAGCAGAAAACCATCATCATGACAACACTAGAGTAAAAGAGGGCAAAAATAAAATTTCTTTCTGGTAGGGAAATAAAGACATCTTAAGCTTGACTTCAAAAGCTCTCTACAGCAAACAGTGGCTGTGGAAATACCGTTTCATCTTTGCCTCTGGGATATTATTAAGCTTTTCTAGTAGCTCTAACTGCAGGAGAAGGGATTACAGAAGTTGCTGCTGTGTAGCTGCCTGCCATACAAATATCTGGAAAAGCTGGGATCATGGATTTGTATTAGGACCAGTGATTAGCCAACCCCAAGAAGCTGACCTGGTAATGAATACAGCAACACATTCCTTTTCACACCATACAAATAAAAACATGCAAGACACTTCCATTCCTTGCTGAAGTGTCAAAGACTTCTCTTTGGTCATAGTTTGCAAAACACAAGTAGGGCTACTTCTAGCTGTACCTACTGCAGCATGCCTAGTCCAGTAATGCGATTCCCACGGCATCAGTTACGGTTGTGTCAGCATTTCCTTGATGAATCCCTACCTTCAAAAGGTTATAGCTCCATTGTTTAAAAATCCACCAGCAGCTGCAATGACCCATGCAGTCCTGCTGTGGAAACTATACCGTATCATTTTAGCACAGAGAGTAGGAACTCAATAGAAATTAGTAACCAAAGGTATTTTTTATTATAATTTATTTTATTTGACTGCTCAATATGATTTCTTTCAAAATCATTTTTCAGCTGAATGTAACTAATGTCCATTTGATATGGACGGATTGCTCATTATCTTGAAAAAGGAAAAATAAACCAATTCAATTTTTAAAATAAAAGAGTATACATAGAGTACATTTAAATATATCAAAGATTTGTAACTGAGATTGAGTAAAATTTAGTTTCTCTGAGTAAATAATAATAGCCATAATGTGGCTAAGTCTCCTAACAAAATAAAATTAATGATGGCTACTAAATAATGACTTTATGCCTTTACAGTTGGTATTTTGTTCATATAGTTTAGAATGCAAAAATGAATAATCTAAAATGTAAGGTGTATGCATGTATATTACATCAGTTGTGGAAAATGCAATACTTCTAGCAGGTAAATTTTTCTTCTTAGGACAAAAATGAGTCATAATATACAATGATGGACCAAAAATGTACAATCAAGATTGAGCCACAAGGTATTTTTAAACATAGAATGAAATTATTTTTAACCAACATTAACATTGCCTTGATTTGATTTGAGCAAAAGCTGCTACATTTGACAACCCTCCTATAGATACAACTGATTGTAATATATTGCTGTTTTTAAAAGATCCTAATAATTTGCCCTCCACAGAAGAGGTTTATAATCTTAATTTTTCTATGTAGTTGAAATATCAAGAAATCATTCTATGATCATTTTCATATTCTATGCCTTGTCTAGTTCATCAGTGTGGTACATTAGTGCAGCCTCACAATTATTATTTTCCTCAATTTTATTTTTCTCTCTCTCACCTTTTTAAATTCAACATATTTTACAACATCTACAATCATTTTCTGATAATAGAGATTTATCATAAAGGAAGATCACACAGTAAATCTACCTCTCCCAAATTTACACTGAAAATGTATGCTTTTAAACAAAGACTTTATAAGCATTTAGTCGACTATCGTATTTTCTTGTTTGAGGCTATCTTCAGTGCATAAATAGTAAGATCTGATCTTGTAGATCAGTATATTTTAGTAGATATTCAATAAAAGGCAACAATGAAAGTTTTAATTAATCCACTAATTGAAGAAAAATTACATCTATCTACCCACCTATTTAATTTGAGAAGAATAATATGGTTCTACAATACAGCTTGAAATTAATGTAACACTTTTAGATTTCATAATACTTCAAGCTTTAAAAATGTTTTCAAAATATAAAATTCAATTAAACAATCAGCTGATTTGAAAACATCCATTTAACAATGGTTTTTTAAAACCCTACTTAAATGAATTAAATAATATCGTGAAATATACCCATGTACCTTAACTTAAGACTATGAATGTATCACAACAAGTGATTCAAATTATCACTTATTTTTAGTGAAGCTAAAATTACCTTTAGAGTTTTAAAAATAGTTTAAAGTTCTGGGGTTGGTTCCTTTTTGAGAAGTAACTATTTGCATTCCATCTCTTGACATGAAGCTTTAAATATCACAGTGCTTTGATGAATAATAAATACAAATATAAATGAATAAACAATCTGATGCCAGGAAAGAGGGAGATAAATATTCAAAGGAGGTGACTTTGTGTTTTGTTTGTTTATTTTATAATGTATTTTGCATTTGGCCTAGTCAACAAATAGATGAAAACAGAAAAATAAAATAAAATATTTACTATACAGATAAGCTATTCTTGTAGTTCCTCTATTTCCTGATAAGTCTTAGATGCATAAATCCAATATTCTGTTGTGCAGGATGGTAACTCTGCCTTGGCATTTTATTCTTCATAATATAGTAGGAGTGACCTATGAGTCATGGGGTTTCCAAAATGGTTTTAAAAATCCGTCCTTATGGCAGAAGAAAAACAGTATTTGATTCTCCTGTGGCTGTTGCTGCTCAATCAAATTTATTGCCAGCTTTAGAACCTGGCCAGGAGAAGTGCTCAGTCCTGCTCCTGTTTTCACTGATTCAGAAGTACCAACCATAGCCAGCTGAGTTGGAGGGATTTCCCATTTGAGGATCAAGGCATGGTGGCAAGTATTCTACCACTCTGAACTAGAAAACTTCAGAGAAACATGTTTATTTGTATGATATGCTAGGAAAGCCAGGATATATACACAGATATATAGACTCCATCACTGGTTCCCTGTTTGGCTGGGAAGGTCATGAGTCAGGCTGACGAAATGTAAAAGGCAGTGAGTTGAAGTTTTCCTCCTGCTGTGATCAGATGCTCTTAGGATTCCAGTTGAGGTAATCTTTAAAGGGAACATGGCAGAGCTTTGGAAGCTTTTGGAAGCTTTGCAATCATGACCCACTGGTATCCCATAGGCTCATTGGAGGGGCCAGTATGAGCTAGCTGGAGGTCAGTTTTTATCCTGCTGTTCTTACATACTCTAAAATTACAGATCATAATCTCTGAAGTAGGACTTTAACTCCCACCATGCAGAGGTGCCAAAAATAAGGTACAAACGAAGTCTTTTAAAAAATAAGATAGAAAGTCCTTATATACCCATCTGTCTATAATGTTCCAAACTCAAGAATGAGATATATTAAGATTATTTATAATTTACAAAAGACTTACAAATGCCATATGATTCGATTTTCGGAACAATCTTCGGAGTTCATAAGGAAGCATTATAAACTACCCCTCCTTTTAAAAAACAAAACAACACAACAGAAAACAGAGTTTGTAAGGATTTCCTCTGATAAATAAACAAAAAAACACAAGCTTCCAGGTCCTGGTCACATGTCTATGGCAGACATCAATACTCATGTTGTAGTAGAATCTCTGCAAAATCCAGACTTTTTTCACACAAGCCTTTTCAGCACAGTATTCAAGGAACTCATTGGCAACAGAATACTTCACACAAGGAAGGAAACAAGTTTACTCTCCCACTCTAACGGACCAGTGAAAGGCAAAGATCAGAGAACAGAATATATGACTCCAGCTTTAAATGTTTCCAGTAGTGGGATTTAAGGAGGACCTTATTCTAACTATAAGCAGATGCAATGTCAAATGAGTTTTGTTTTGATACACAGTATTCCTATGCATGTTAATAGTTTATATATTCAAGAAATAAAAACAAATCAGTATGAAATTTTTAAAAATCTGAGCACAAACAGGAACAAATTAATCCCATGTATTTCATATGAATAACACAACCACACTAAAGGAAGGAAAAGCAAAACCAAACCAACTCATACAAATACGTAAATCAAATGAATGCGTATAACTTCTGAACACAGATTTTTAGCTGTAATAATCTCAGTCCAAGGGGATAATAAAACCACCTTCAAATCTAGAACTTTTTCCTGTAGTTTGTGTTTGCATAGTGAGGTGGATCTAGCACTTCTGAATCTATTTTATGTATATTGTCAGATTGAGTAAATGAGCAAGGGAGCTTGTGTTTAAAGCCTCAGTTCTCACTATGAACGAGGGAACATAGAAATGCAGACTATAAAAGGCATGCAGGAGGTGGATTGAAATTGAAGGTATAAGTATGCACTCAGTATGCATACTCAGTATGCACACACACATACACATGCACAGAAATCTTAGTGCTGTGAGTCAAATAGGCCTAGCAGCAACGATATCCTAACAACAATAAACACACATTTCATCTTGATTTGTAAATATGATTGCCCACTGAAAGGAACCAGGACTTGGAGAATTGACTGGATTCATTTCAGGGCTGGAAGGCAAGCCTTAAAAATGTTGTAGAATGTAAAAAAGTGCTCAAAATAATAATAATAGTAATAATAATAACAAAAAAATAAGAGCCAGCTGGAAGGAGCTACTAAATCGCCAGGTTTGTTGAAAAGTTGTGATAATATGAGCATAAGCATAAATAAGTACAAAATGGAAAATAATCCATTGAATAAAATAGGAATTCTTAAGTTATCACTGATGATAATAGAAAAATGATGTGTAGAGAGATAGATAATTAGAGATAGATAGGTATAGCTCAATCCACGGAAACACACCTAGATAAGAAAGGAGGTAAGGAGGGCTCTTCATTCCAGTAGAATGTCAACAGATAAATGTGAAGGAAATACTGAAGATAGAAAAATCATTATTTTTCCACCATTGTTATAAAAATTGTTTTTGTCACGTGTCATCAAAAGATGCTAAATACAGCCATCGAAGTTTACAAAGAAAGTGTCTCTTTACAAATTAGTTAGTATTTATAAAGAAAAAAGAAATATTAATAAATGGACACTATCCAGTAAGGACCCAACCTCACTTTTCTGGGTTTGCGTAATATTTAAGCGTTAATTAAATTGACAGTTTCCCAGTAGGCCCCAATAAATTATTCAGGCCATCTTACTAGCACTTTTTAGAAGCCAATTCCTATTGCTATCTCATGGCTTCCCCATCCTAGCTTGTTTTGAATGACACAGAATTGTCCTAGGTAATGACTACTTCTGGGTTTCATTCACAGAGAAAGTCTTTATTCAACAGCACTGAGTTAATTTGTCTGCGAGTCACTAAGAACAGTTTCTCTGAGTGAAATATAAATAAACCCAGGAAAACCCACAACACAAACATCTATCTGCCCTGGTTCAAGAAGTGAAACCCGTGTGTTTCACAAACTGTGGAATTATCATCATCAACAAAAACATCACAACACTTACTGTGTGATAAGAACTTCATATGCACTATCTAATTTAACATTACAAGGAGGAATTTGCTATAACTTGAATCACCAAGTTTAAGAATATTTATACATAGATTTCCTCCTGTTAGGGGGAAAAGTTTCCTCTACCCTCCTAGGGTTGCTGTCTAGGTCTGAAATAAAAGTTGACAAAGACAGATTAACAGGAGGAAAGCGTAACAGATTTATTTAATCAGAGTTTCATGTGACACAGGAACCTTGAGATAGGAAGAGCCAAAGGCACTGCGGGGTGGTGGCGGGTGGGGGTGGGAAATGCCGATTGTATTCTTTGATGAAACAGACCGAGCGGAGGAACCCAGCAAGGCCTATTTGTTCACATTCTTCTTAACCTGTCCGTGTGGCATTTCTTCCTATGAGGTGTAGGGCAGGACCCCTTCTGGAATGAGGGTCTTATGACCTACCATTAGACAAGGTAGGTCAGAGAATTTCATTACAACCAGCTCTTACACAGAAGGGTGGGAGGAGGTTAGACAAATATTTTTAGGTTTTTATGGCTGGCTTTGGAAAAAAGGGGTTCTGGTTTTTATGACCCACCTTGAGAAGAGGAGTTCTAGTTTGTATGGCCTGCCTGGAGAAGAAAAAGAAGCAGGAGGGCAGGAGAAGTGTAGAAAGATCTCACTTCTGAGGCACTCAGTTCAAGGTACTCAGCATGCCACAGCACCATACTTTTGGGTATCTTGCCCTGAGCACAAGCATTCTCCGAATTATTATTAATTTAATCTGTTTGCCTGTGTCTTTACACATAAATTTGTTTTTTAAAAATGTTTTATCTAAGGAAACTACATTGATATTTTGGCATAAACAAACTTAAAAATTTATATGCAATTTACTCTATCTGCTGTACCTCCAAAGCAGTTAGCACTCTAATATCTAAACTCCAATTTTTCCTATGATAACTAAAGTTACATCCAAATGTTTCTTTGTTGACACAAGAAAGTTTGATAATTGAAAGCTAAGACGTTATTTTAACAGAGAACATGGGATCTGGGCTGACAAGAATCATTTTTAACTCCATCTCTGTCAACTTTAACTCTGATTTTAAGAAAGGTATTCACCATCTTGAATCTTATTTTTCTTATCAGCAGAATTTTTTTTTTTAATGGAGTAGTTGTAAGCTGCCTCCTTCGCAGAGCTGTTGTTGTATGGAACAAATTGTGGAGAGAATGGATGTTCAAGTTTTTATGAACTACAAAGTAATGGCCAATCGTTGGTATCAGTTGGATAATCATTTCAAGGATAATCACCTGTACAATTCTAAAATCATTTTACTAAATATCAGAAAGTCATACAAATCCCAAATGATCGAAATAACCTTACAGAAATTTGTAACGACTATCATGGCAGAGCAACAAACTTGTACAGCAATGAAAAACCACAGAATCAAATACAATCTTAATGTGATGACTCTTTTCTACTTTTTTATATGAAAGGCTTTGATTCTGGGAATATGGTGTTATATTTTCTTTTAAAATGTATCAATATTATTATAGCATATCAAAATTTCTGACAGGTTAAAGAAATTCTGACAGATCTCAAACACTGAATTACAATAGGTACAAATTTCCTTAGAAATTTAAATGAACTGTTAGACCTTACAAAGTGCTACATGTTAGATAATAAATAAATGAGTATGACTATAAAGTACTTTAAATCTGGTGTTTTATATTGCTGAATAATGATAGATTTTATCAACATATTTTATAATAAGGGACCTACAAGTGAATAAAAAATTGAGGGTAAATATTTATATGATTATCAATTCAGAAGACATTTTCTAATATAAAAGCTATGTTGAGGAATGGAGAAGAAACTAAAGAATCAAACAATTGCTGTATATGATTAAATCTATCAAAAAGAATATTGTAAGGTAAAGAATACAATTATGTAGTATTTTTAAAAATATAAACTAAAATAATCATAATTCAACACTGTTAATGCAAGTTAAAATAATTACTTAAGCAGTATAAAAATGACATGAACTTATTTCAGAGAAAAAATACAAATTATATATAAAAACCATGGAAAATATTTCAATCTTTCCTTTATTCACAAATTTTCAGATTGAAATCACTAACAGCTAGTATGGTTTACTACCAAATCTGCAAACATTTTAAGAGTCGTATTTAGAATGAGTGCACTATAAGACTCATCTATTTACTGTACTGGTGAGAGTGTAAATTGGTACAACCTTTTTGGAAAGCAATTTGTCAGTACATACTGAGGTCTGTAAAAAGTTCATAACCTTTAATACAGTAATTTCTCTTCTAGAGCCTTAGCCAAAGGAAAAAAAAATTAGACAAACATTTTAGTAAAAAGATGAAAATCATGATGTAATTATAACAGCAAAAACCTATAAGCAACTTAAATGTCTAATGTTCGGATAATAATTCAATGTATTTTAGTGGAGCTATAGATAAAACATGTAGTATGATTAAATGTAGATTCTTAAGCACTATTTAATAGCATGGGATAATGCTTATGATTTACACTTCAGTTAAAAATAAGAAGGCAATTCTGTATCATCTATTTGATCTTAATGTAATATGTAGAAACAT
This sequence comes from Homo sapiens, assembly GCF_000001405.40. Classification (NCBI taxonomy): domain Eukaryota; kingdom Metazoa; phylum Chordata; class Mammalia; order Primates; family Hominidae; genus Homo; species Homo sapiens. The sequence goes on from NC_000006.12 coordinate 92,055,469, forward strand.
TTATAACTTCAAATGCACAAATTTAGAAACTGATAAAAATATGTCAAAGTGATTACAATAATTTTTACAAGATTTTATTGTATGTTTCTATTTTTCTACATGCTTTCAATTTTTTACCATGAGCACATATTTTTCTAAAAATAAAAATATATCATTATTATAATTATTATAAGTACATAATTTTTATTGCATTTCAATCTGAGATTAAGCTTGTAAATCTGAATATTTAAATTTATAATATGCAAATCATCAAAAACTTTAAAAGTTTATACATATAAACTTGAAATTATTTTGTATACAAGTACAAAAACACTATATTTTTAAATCTCTGCCATTTTACAAATATAACAGTTTTTCACAGCAAAAGGAAGATTTTTTTACTTCATGGCATACTTTTTGACTATTGTTTGATGATTATTTTATTTTCATTTTTCCTCAAATACTTGTTTTTATAGATATGGGAATGGCTACTGGACTAGACCTCAGTGTTCAAACATTTTGCTGTTTTTCACTTGCAGTTCCCAAATGCAAATTGAAAGTTTCTAATTTCCAAGCAGCACAGCAATTGATTCTTATCAATATGTCCCATAAAAATGCATCTTATATAGTATAATATGGAACTGCTAGAAATCTAATAAAAGAATGTGTCAATTTCTTAATTTTAGACTTGAGGAAAGCAAGAATAAAAGAGTTTCCCTCATCTTTTCTTTCTCTTAGATTTCCAACAACCCTAATACCTTTACTAATTATTTTTATTTCACATTTAGTCATGTGAACAATCTACAATTATGTTACATTCTCTATGAATATACTTGAAATGGCTTTGAAACAGTTCTAGTGAGTATGACATTGTGTTAGTGAGAGTGGGATGGGGACAAAAAAAGGCATTCTGGAACAAACAAACAAATAACCACATCAATTGAATAACACACCTAAGGACTTCAATGATTCCACACCTTAGGAGGTGGGATTTAACTTGAACAAAGGTGTATAAACTGGTCCCTAGAGATTTTACTTTAAAATGCAAATCCAAACTTTTACTAATCTAGGTATAGAAACAACTACAACATCTTTACTTTTGACTCTTGCTCCTTAAATCACTACGAGCAGACCATAGGAGAAAATAAGCTATAGAAGAGGTAACTGTGCACATGTTTACTAAGCTATTTACTCCAAGATGTCTTTATCCAACTCTGCTTAAATTGTCTCCTTGCTTTGCAATGAAGGAGAATGAGAGGCCTGGTAAGAAGCTTTTACAATTCACCCTTCTGATGTTTTTCTTTTGTATGAGAATAATCCAATATAAGAACAAATGGATCAGCTAGATATCTCACTATAAGATAGAAGAGAGTCCTTAGTACTAAACTTTCCCTGATCTGTTTTTCTACTTGAGGACTCTTGCCCAAATTCTAAATAATCACTGTCACATGGAATACAATAATAATAATAAAACATTGTCCTCAAAGAAAACATGGAATAGAAGTGGAAGTAAAAAAGGGTTTTGAAATTATCTAATAATATTTATTTTAGAAAACATAATTACTCAAACATTTTTCTACAAAGAATTAAAAAATATATGAAGCAACCTGGAAATCTCTTAATTATGTTCACAGATACAAACAAGTCTTTTAATTTCAATAGGAAATAATATTTTTATTTGTCATAATTCATTTTGTGCTGCTCTAAAAGAATACCTGAGACTGAGTAATTTATAAATCACAGAAATTTGTTTTGAAAAGTTCTAAAAGCTAAGAAGTCTAAGATTATGGGGCTGGCATCTTGAGAGGGCCTTCATGCTGCTTCATCCCATGGAAGAAGGTAGAAGGGGAAGAGAGGGCAAAAGAAAGTTCAAGTGGATGCTGAACTCATCATTATGTAAGGAAACCACAATCATGATAAGAGCATTAATTCATTCATGAGAATGGGACACACATGACATTAATACCTCTTAAAGGTCCCACCTCCCAACACCTCTGCCTTGGGTATCAAGTTTTTAACATGTTATCTTTGGAGGACACATTCCAACCATAGCATTAGTCTTTTCTCTGCACAGGGAAATGCACTATTATAAAGCTATGAAGGAATATAATCAAGAGTGGTTTCTCGTTGCATTGACTATAATATATATGCCCTTAGACTCAAGAGCAGAGAGGCTGATAGTTGGGCTCTGAGGCTGAATCACATGCCACTAAATATCCATATGATCAATATTGTGTGCTATCAAAACAATCTGAATAGAGATTTACAGAAATGTAATGTCATGGCTGCTTTAGTACTCCATTACTCTAGAAAGTTTAGCTTGGTGATTTAATATTCACTTCTCGGCTCTCTTATCTGTTTCTGGATGATTCTAGACATTCACTTTCTATCCACACCCTTTGTGCTAATAGCCTCGCAGAAAGTTGTCTCAGTATATCTGAGTTAGCTACCTAGGACAGACTGATGCTACAGGAATACTTCTCTGAACAGGGAATTCTTATTATTAGATAGTCATGTAGACATTATCTTGCCTCTCCTCCCTTCTCTCCCCCTCTGTCCACATTTGTAGAGTATTATGATAGTAGATCTCATTTACTGAAACTTTAACATACAGACAATCTATGCCTGGCTTGCAATGTGGGATAATGAGAATTCAAGGTATTCTGTATTCCACCAATTCCATGCTTTTAAGATTTTCCTGCCCACATATTCTACTGTAAATCTGCATCATGTGGAACCATAGTGTTTGTCTGTGACCCACTGCATGGTGATATGGTTTTTCTGTGTCCCCACCCAAATCTTATTTTAAATTGTAACTCCTACCATTCCCATGTATTGTGGGAGGAACCTGGTGGGAGGTGATTGACTTGTGAGGGCAGGTCTTTCCTGCACTGTTCTTGTGATAGTGAATGAGTCTCATGAGATTTGATGGTTTTAAAAATGGGAGTTTCCCCGCAAAAGCTTTTTGCCTGCCACCATCCATGTAAGACGTGACATGTTCCTTCTTGCCTTTTGCCATGAGTATGAGGCCTCCCTAGCCATGTGGAACTTTAAGTCCATTTAAACCTCTTTCTTTTGTAAATTGCCCAGCCTTAGGTTGTCTTTATCAGCAGCATGAAAATGGACTAATAGGGTAAGTTGGTACCAGGAATGGGGGCTGCAGAAAAGATACCCAAAAATGTGGCAGTGACTTTGGAACTGGGAAACAGGCAGAGGTTGAACAGTTTGGAGAGCTCAGAAGATGATAGGAAAATGTGGGAAAGTTCAGAACTTCCTAGAGACTTGTTGAATGGCTTTGCCTACAATACTGGTAGAGGTATGGACAATATAGTCCAGGGTGAGGTGGTCTCAGATGGAAATGAGGAACTTGTTGGGAACTGAAGAAAGATGACTCTTCTTGTGTTTTAGCAAAGAGACTGGTGGCATTTTGCCCCTGCCCTAGAGATTTGTGGAACTTTGAACTTAAGAGAGGTGATTTAGGGTATCTTGTGGAAGAAATCTCTAAGCAGCAGAGCATTCAAGAGGTGATGTGGGTCCTGTTAAAGGCATTCAGTTTTATAAAGGAAGCAGAGCATAGAAGAACAGAACACTTGGAGAATTGTAATGCCATAGAAAAGAAAAGGCTTGTAATCCCAGCACTTTGGGAAGCTGAGACCGGTGGATCATGAGGTCAGGAGTTTGAGACCAGCCTGACCAAAAGAACAGAACATTTGGAGAATTGTAATGCCATAGAAAAGAAAAGGCTTGTAATCCTAGCACTTTGGGAAGCTGAGACAGGTGGATCACGAGGTCAGGAGTTTGAGACCAGCCTGACCAAAAGAACAGAACATTTGGAGAATTGTAATGCCATAGAAAAGAAAAGGCTTGTAATCCCAGCACTTTGGGAAGCTGAGACAGGTGGATCACGAGGTCAGGAGTTTGAGACCAGCCTGACCAGTCTGAGATCCTGCCTCTACTAAAAATACAAAAATTAGCTGGGAGTGGTAGCACATGCCTGTAATCTTAACTACTCAGGAGGCTAAGGCAGAAGAATTGCTTGAACCTGGGAGGCATAGGTTGCAGTGAGCCAAGATGATGCCACTGCACTCCAGCCTCAGTGACAATGGGAGACTTCGCCTCAAAAAAAAAAAAAAAAGAAAGAAAATCTCATTTTATGAGGAGAAATTTAAGCCGACTGCAGAAATTTGCATAAGCAATGAGAAGCCAAATGTTAATCCCCAAGACAATAGGGGAAATGTCTCCAGGGCATGTCAGAGGTCTTCACAGCAGCCCCTCCCATCAAAGACCTGGAGGTTTAGGAGGAAAAAACGGTTTCCCGCGCTGTGCCCAGGATCCCTCTGGTGTGTGCAATTAAGGAACTTGGTGCACTATGACCCAGCTGCTCCAGCTGTGGCTGAAAGGGGCCAACATAGTAGAGCTTGGGCCATGGCTTCAGAGGGTGAAAACCCCAAGCCTTGACAGATTCCACAAGGTGTTGAGCCTGTGAGTGCAAAGAAGTCAAGAATTGAGGTTTGGGAACCTCCTTCTAGATTTCAGAAGATGTTTGAGAACTCTCGGATGCCCAAACAGAAGTTTGCTACAGGATCACAGCCCTCATGAAGAACCTCTGCTAGGGCAGTCAGGAAGGGAAAAATGGGAGGGGCTGGGGGCAGAATGATGTGGTTTGGCTGTGTCCCCACCCAAATATCATTTTGAATTCTAACCCCCACAATTCTCACATGTCATGGCAGGAACCTTGTGGGAGGTGATTGAATTATGGGGGCAGGTCTTTCCCATGCTGTTCTTATTGGTAGGGAATGAGTCTCATGTGATTCAATAATCTTAAAAACGGGAGTTTCCCTGTACAAGCTCTTTTTGCATGCCACCATCCATGTAAGATGTCACATGCTCCTCTTTACCTTCTGCCATAATTATGAGGCCTCCCCAGCCATGTGGAACTTTAAGTCCAATTAAACCTCTTTCTTTTGCAAAATGCCCAGTCTTGGGTATGGCTTTATCAGCAGTATGAAAATGGACTGAGACAATATTATAAACTGAGACAAAAGTTAAAGCTGATAATGAATCATACTTATGCCAGTCCAGACAGAAAATCCAGGAGGCCTAGGCAATAGGCAAGACATTTACTCCCTTTATATCCCATAAATAAAATCATTTTTGATGGCCTAATGACTTGGTAATACAGTTTAATGCACAAAATTAAGTGACCAATAAGGATGTATTAAGTTGATTTTATCATTTACCCTTCTTCATTCTTCTGATTTTTTTTCTACATGTTCTCTGGATTTACTATTTTCAACTTTGCTGTGCTAAATGCTATAAATATGTAGTTTTCTGTAGAAATCTTTGATCTTTTTGAAGAAAGAAGCTGTTAAAATTTGATGAATAATTAGCCAAAACTTGACAGCAGTCAATTAATCAGAAAGCCTATGCCAAGGGATCATACTATGATAAGCATCAAGTAAGATAAAGGAAGATATATAAGGTATTGTCTTAATCCTTTAAGATTTTAAAGCCAAGTGAAAAGATAAGTCATATACATCTCAAATTAGCAGCATATGTTTGAGTATTTACTTATTTAGTTGATATAGCTATTAAGAGTAAACTGGGAGGGTACAATACAGAAGTGCTACATTGAAAATTATTTAAAACATTTTAATTTTAAATATTGAAGTCCATACATCTCTGAACAATCTACAATACTGATGCAAACTATGAGTTCCAAACTGTTGTGAAAATTAATACACTTTGCATGTAAATTTTTTTTCAAATAATCTGTCATAGCTTATAGTGAAGTATGAGAGGAGTCAAATACTGGTTTAAAAAATGTGTTGTGTGCATTCTCGTTTTGGAGTAGTGGTTTTTTTTTTTCATCACAAAGCTCAGTGAATTTAATTAAATCTCAACTGCCTCAAAGCAATTCTTTTTATTGTACAAAATTGCACTTATCATTCAGATGGCAAAAACCATATAAAATGCTACTGTCTTTCAAAACAAGAAATTTACATATAGGCAATAAGTAAAAAGGTCCATAACATGGCCCAGAAATGCCACTTAAACTTTCCGATGGATGTTTTAAAATCAATTCAAGTCAATGTATGGTGAATTATGTGGCTGCCTTAGAGAGCCTGTGTTATTCAAGCACCTAAAATGATACAACTTATCTCAAGTGTACATATTCTCAACAACAAAATAGTCAGTGGATGTCCAGGTAAAAAAAAAAAACTCTGAGAATACAGACGTTCCATCATTCTGACATAGATTTTTCTTTGTTTATGTTTTCATTGCCTTCTCATTCTCTTTCCCCAGTCTCAAAATCACTTAGCTGGAGCTCAATTAGGTAATTATCTCATAAAAGCAATTGACCTAATAGTATGAATAACCAATGATGTTAAATGTCTGTGATTATCAGTGGTCATTTGTATGTGTGTGGATAGATAGATAGATAGATGATAGATAGATAGATAGATAGATAGATAGATAGATAGATAGATAGACAGATGATAAATAATCTTAGCTGTCTTTATTCATTTTTCCTTAATTCTTTGTAGGATATAAAGGTTTCCACGGGGAAATAGCCACTGAATGTTCATATGGATGAGACTAAATGGCCATGTTCAACTATTCCTGTAGTACTGCTATGATGTAGCCTGTCTGTTTAGAATATAAAAATACAGATATAGTAAACTAGTAACATGTGACACAACTAGACACATGAATTTTATTAAAGCAGCAATGTCAACAGATTATGCCCACTGGATTTTACCCACTCTGTGTAGCATAATGCATGGCTTTTCATGCTATAAATATTTTATTTAGTGTTTCTTTAATAATAATTACCTACATATAATAAATAGGAAAATTAAAAATAAAATCTCCCACCCACTAGAGAAAAGAGTTTGCCTGGTGGTATAGTTCCTTACATCTATATCTATATCTATATCTATATCTATATCTATATCTATATCTATATCTATCTATCTAAATTGATAGTCTTCTTATTACCTTAACCTTATAAGGCAATCCTAGTGTACACACTTATCATTATTACCAAACTGAAATCATTGTTTTATTATTCATATTCAGTCTATTGCCTTTTTCATATACTTAATTGCACTGTTTGTTAAGGATGCCATCTTTCTGTAAGTGAAACTTCCACAATCTGTTCTCCATTCACATCAATCATGTTAATTTTCATTGATCATCTCTTTTTCATTTTCTCAGACTCTAATGGATTTTTTAAAAACATTCTTCTCCAGATTATTAGCTCAATTTTCCTAAACAATTAATGCTTTTCTTTATCATCTCAACTGTGGATTTAAATTCTGCTATTCCTATTTTAGTTTCAGTTTCAATGTCTAACCCAGGTCTTTTTTCATCTCTGCTATTCTTTATATTTTCATCTGTTTTCTTTTTATCATATAATATTCTCTATGTAAGACTTTCCGCTCCTAATTTTTTAAAGCTGCATGATTTTATATTGTATTGATATATTTTCTGTATTTTTTTATTGTTTATGGTAAATAACTATTGCAGTATGCTATTCCTGTGAAAAATCAGAAAGATGTTCCTTTGTGTGTGTGTGTGAATGTTTACAAGTAATTGATGAAGGTATCTCTATCAACATTTTATTTATTTATTTATTTTCATGAGACAGGGTCTTGCTCTGTGGCCCAGGTGAGAGTGCAGTGGGGAGATCACGGCTTACTTGCAGCTTCAACCTCCTGGGCTTAAGTGATCCTCCTGTCTGAACCTCCAAGTAGTTGGGGCTACATGCACGTGCCACCATGCCTGCGTAATTTTTTATTTTATTTTTATTTTTTGTAGAGATGGGGCCTTGCCATATTGCTCAGGCTGGTCTCAAACTCTTGGGCTCAAGCAATCTTCCTGCCGCGGCCTCCCAAAGTGCTGGGATTAGAGGCATGAGTCACCTCACCCAGCCTAACATTTTTAACTAGATGAGTTAGGCTTTATCCTTTTAACTAGAAAGACTCATTGCAAAATTTAGATATTTAAATTATCATAAAAAATGTCTGCAATTTTTCAAGAAATAAGCCTGCTGAATATTCCAGATTCTGTGTGATTTCCACAGAATACAGTGAAATTTTACTAATCACATAAAATCATTTCGTGTTTTTTTTAAAGATGCCTCCAACAAGGAAATATACCTAACGGACAGAATTTTGAAAAGCTAGGCATATACCCAAAAGTTTATATTACTGTGTCCACACATGTAGTTCTGTATTTTTATTTACTACCTTTTGTTTGTTAATTTATTTCATCAGTTCTAACCAAAGTCATATACGATTTATTTTGAATCATTTCAGCCCCTCCAATTTCTTTTATTATTGATGTTTATATTACTTCTCAACCCTGGCAAAGTCATTTTAAAACCAGAAAAGACTATTACAAGCAATATCTTTCTTGATCATAACAATTTGATGTGAACTCATTCATTCTGTGAGCAGATCTCAAGAGGAAAGTAAATTGGAATTTTTCAATTGGTGGTACAGCAACATTGCTGCTACCCTGGAGACCTGTTTTCAAAGGCAACCAAGATATTTAGGTATCCCATACCAATTCAATTTAGGGGGTCTATTTTAGGAGACTTGTTCCCTCTCGAAAGAGAATTGGCTACCAAAGTTAATGGGACCACCTGCAAAACAGTCAATACTTCCTGTAGTATTAAGTGAGGTTTTAGTTTGACAGAAACAACATGACATACCAATGCTTCACATTGCCTTTTCCTTCTTTCTATTTTGTTTCTGTTTTCCCTACTTATCTCAAATATAATTTAACTCATTTAGGCAAACATAACATATGCTGCTTCTCAAATAAAAATATAGATGGAAAAATGTAAATATATGTCTATAAAATTTTACACATTTATTATGGAACTGAGGATGTGTCTATATGTTGAAAAAGCAAAGTACCGATATCTGTGATTATTTCCTATGGACACACGAATACATTTTAGAAACCACTTTATGTGCAATCTGAACAATGTATGCCTTTTCTGTCATGCTTCTTAGGGAAAATCCTAAAAAAAATACATTGTCATATTCCTTTTAAGAGAGGAATATTTTGTAAATATTTCAGTGATTCTTTACAGACAGGATAACGTAGAATCAACAAGAACAAGATAATAAAACAGATTTTTTTCTTCCTTGATATGGATTCTCCTTTTTTATTTTTGAAACATTTAAAATAAGTTCCTTAGAGAGTCAAGAGGCAAAACATAAATAAATAATAAAAATAAAATAAAATTCTGGCTCTATGCCTTTCTTTAATTTTTGGCTTGAAGCAGATTAGGGTAATTGGAGGTACAATTTTGGTCTGTGCTGCTGCTGCTGCTGTTGCCCTTATTGTAGGCAAAATCTTCTGTAAATTTTGCACTTCGTTGCATGGAGATTTTCTAGTAAATTGTTCATCATGTTAGAAAAACAACCAGCTTATATTAACAAAGTTCAACAGCTTATAAATTTCAACAGCCATATTTATGTAGCAAGAATGTAAGCAGAATCCAAAAGACTGTTTCATGAACCTGTTCATTTGAGCTAACTGACATGATAATATAGCCTACCAAAGTGATTTGCTTGAATTACATAGAATAAATTGATATGATGAGCCACAGTTTTAAAGATTGTTATCAAATCTCATTTCCCCTTTCTCTGTGTAACCATACTTGAAATAATCAGCCAAAAATAACCAGACTAATATGGAATATATTTTGAATTCAGACATCTGAATGCGGCAGTGGGTAGTATCCAAACTGATTAGAGAATAGATTGGAACTCTAGTCCAAAACAGTGTAGTCACATAGCTGCATCCTTAGGTTTTGAGAAATAAGATTCAATTAGAGTTATGTAAAACCAGGATTGTCAAGTCACTACATCACATGCTCAATTATTTGGTGCCACAGAAAGGCACTAAAGCCCTATAGTTTAGGGTTAATAGTTTTTGATGGGAATCACCAATTGTGGATATCTACAAAATTATACATGTATTTGTGTGAGCTTAAGTTATAAATGTAAGTTATATACGTAGTAAATATATGACAGTTATAAAATATAAAAATAAAATAAATACATTGAAACCACTATGTAAACTCAGAACTAGTATATTCATTACCAATATTTGAAGCTATCGGTGTGTTTTTACAATATTCCATTCATGTTTTTTCTTTTGAAAAATAACAAATATCCTAAATTTTAATGCTGTTATTTTTAATGTTTTACCATTTAGTATCAATGAACCATACAGTCTTTTGTTTTCTTGCTTAAGAGCTTAAAAATCATACCCTATTTTAGACTTTTTAGAATTACTTCAATGAGAAATATTATGTTTCAAAGATTTACAAACTCTGTTTAATGCATTAGTAATTTGTCCATTTTCATTGTTGTCTAATATTCCATGGTATGACTATTGTAAAACTTAAGTATTATTTTTCAGTACAGAGCCCCTGCAATATGGTATTAATGTGCCACTAGACTTTGGACAAATAAGGTAACTATAAACATTCCTGTACAAATCCCCCTGTGGAATTGTTTAGTATTGAAATTGTTTGCCTGAAATTATACAATAATGTCCAACTATTTTCAAAATATTAGAATGATTTTTCTCATACTCACAGACATAAGAACTTCCACTGAACTTCCATTTTCAGGAATATAATAAGATAGGCAATTCTGAGCATTGTTCCCACCAAGCCAACTCCAAATACTAGACAAAAAACGTATATTTCCAATTATTCTTAAGATAATTAACTGACAAGATAGTAAAAAAATTGAAATTACTTATTAAAAATTAAGAGAAAGCTGATGATCAGAGAAGAAATGGATTCTTGAAGCCTTTTATACATAATGAAGTTGATAATCCAAAAAACAATCTTAAATGTTGAGTTTGATCTTTAAAGTTCCGAAGCAAGAGAGACAAAAGTCAAACCTATGAGCCTGCCTAAGAAAGGAGCTATTATAGTAGACACTGCCCACATTAAGCCAAGTCCCCAAAGTGTTAAACCATCATTACGAGAGGAAGACGAAAAATAAATAAATAAATAAACCTCCTTCCTAACAGCATACCATAGGACAACAACAACAACAGTTCTCAGTGCTAAGCAAAGCAGCAAGTAAAAAGAAAACACATCTTGAGAAGTTAACCATAAGGCAGCCAGAGTGTAAATTTGGAGCGCTAATCTCAGATCTTGAAGTGAAATAACCCTAGACAGTTAGTGGCACCTCACACTTAGAAGAAGTAATCACAGATCTTCTCTGCAGAAAGTTTTCTTCTTTACAACCTCAAATAATTTCTTAAGAACATTGAAAAGGCAATTAAATAAAAAAATAACCAAACACCATGTAAAGACAAGGTACCAGAAGCAATAAAAAGCAAAGTATCTGCAACAGAAACCCACCCATAAAGAAGTTAGACAAGAATTATAAAACATGCACACACACAGTTCTAAAATATTTTCTTTAAAAACAACAAGTTTAAAAATGTCTTTAGAGCAGTGGAAACAAAGCATGTATAAAAAAGAATCAAAAAGAACTTTTGAAAATAAAAGTTTAACAAAAACTAAATAAAAAATAAAAAATTAGTGGGTAAGTTAAGTATCTAATGAACATTAGAGTCAGCTGCAGGGAGAATTTTAAAACCAAAAATAGTTCAGAAAAAAGTTACTCAAGGTACAGCACAGAAAGATAAAATGATTAAGTTATAAATAAGAGTATGAAAAGTTAAAGGATATAATAATGTCTGTCATACAGTTGAAATGATATTTGGGATATACTGGATTTCATAAAATGTATTATTAAAATTAATTTTACTCATTTCTTTTTACTTTTGTTTAATGTTACAGTTAGACATGTAATATTACAGATATGGCTACCCTTATATTTCCATATCAAATTTAGCTATTCCAGACTTCAGTATTTAGCTCACTGTGCTCCCCAAATCACAACTTCATAAAGATTTCTTATAAGCCACCAATATATTCAAATATTATTTTGGTTTTACCAAGGACTTAGTTGTGAGAGAGAGAATAGAGAAGACACCTTAGAGTATTTAGTTCAAAAGTCTGCTAAATATGAATGTGCCCAAAGTAAGTTTTTTAAGAAGATTGAGATTTTCTGAAAGCATCTGGGCGACTTGGTGTCTTCCTTAACTTTTCCTATAATCATAGGTGAATTATTTAACTTTGCTGTGCTTTAATTTTGTGATTTGTAAAGGAAGAGTTTGGGCCTAGGTAATCTTAAGTATGTTTCTAGATTTAATATTTTACCACTGACTTAAAATTATACACACAATGATAAGAATCTTGACAAAAATCTAAAGAAGTGTTTTTGATATATAGTTACATTTTCTAAGGAAGCTAAGTGGGATATGTTACTATTGCTTGGATCAAGAAAGAAAACAGGGAAAAAAATGAGAAAAGAATTTATTAAAGGAGAAACATAATACAGCTCTTTAAAATGAGGAAAATAACGATTTTGACATGATAAAAATACTATTGTATAAGAGTAAATATTATACATCTTTTAAAAGTACATGATCATAAAAGCAAAGCAAAGTGCAGTCTATTATTTGTCTTCTGAGATATTGTAAAGCAATGACTGTAGTGCAGTTTCAAAATTACAAGTAAGCATATTGTTGGCATTCACAGATTTAGAGAAACATAATGTGCAAATTGAGCAGTAAAAAGTTCACAGTACAATAATATAGTTAGAATTCTTGGAATATATTATGTCTATTCTCATGGCTATTTATAGTTTTATACTATTATTCATTATCTATAAATTATTTTAATGTCAGGGAAGTAGGAGGAAAGCTGTCACCATATTTTTTAGAAAAAAAGATGAATATTCTGACAAGACAGTCTTTATCTGTAATTTTCCATCCTCCTGCATCTCTTGCATTCTACAGAATGGTTCATACCTTTAGATAAAAAGCAAATGTGTGTGTGTGTATATATATATATATATATATATATATATATATATATATGTAACATTTTTCTCTAGCTACTGAGGTGTTTATTAAAGGTTTTAATTTCATTTAAAAATTACTTTTTTCTTACTATTAAAATGATTATGTTTTCTATTATTCAACTAAGATGCTATCCCTAACTTCCTCTATTTTTTTTACCTTACACCCCACTCTCCCACCCTCAGCTATAAAATGCATATATATAAGCAGTGAAAAACTTCTGACTACCTATAACATTCAGAAGATATTAGTCAAATAATATTTAGTGTTGCAAACCATATTACTAGAGGAAAAAAAGAAAATAAACACTTTTAATAAAAACTATTTTACTAGATGTATGTTTTTCATATTTTATTTTTGAAGAGTTTTTAAAATTCTCATAATGTGCAAAGGTGGTATAAATTGTCAAGATTACTTATTATTCATTATAAATAATAAAATCATTATATCAGTTATCAAGATTTCTATATGCACAGAATAAAAATTATAATTTTATAGAAGTACATGTCCCAGATTTCACAAAAACACTTTTGCTTCCATTCTATAAAAACTTTTGAGGAAACCAAGGGAATGTAGTGCCATAAAATTTAATCTCATAAGAAGAAAATGAGTGCATTCTATAGTAATCAATTTTTAATATCAAGTATTAATTAGAACATTGACATATACTAAGAGTTTATTAGTATATTTATAGATCAGGCATTTCTAGAAGAAAAACATAAATAAAGTAATAACACTTATTCTCTTGCTTTTGCTCCTTAACTGACAAATTGAGTTTTAAAATAAAATTTCATTGTGAATTTAACATTGTAATTAATTTGACTATGATAATCTTTGGCTAGCAAAACTGTTGTTTTTAAAATATAATAATATTTCTTTAATTTAGAAATGGAGGTTCATTTAGACAATGAAATTAGCCATTCTCTATCATTTTATACTAATGAGGACTTGTATTCTTTTTTTCTATTTATCTTTCCTTTGCCCTATAATATTACAAAATTTGACTATCGATATTAATGGCCCAAAATACTAAAATGCTTTCTACAAATCTTTATGAGGTTCCCAGAATATTTACTGAAAGAGGGAAATTTGCTGGGATTAGATTAAAGGGATTTTCCCTCCTTCTTTCTCTTACGTTTGGGGAGGCAACTGTAGGTGCTTTAAATTCTGTTAGATTAGCACCAGAATTAGAACTAAGGTTAAATTAATCTTTTAAATCACATAAATATTACACAATTATTGGTTCTCATTACTCTCTGGTGCTTTTGGGGGATGACCAGATGATAACTGAAGCAAATATACTTACCTGAAACAAAATAAAAGATTCATGGAGGATTTGAAAATTTTGTAATATGTCAGGAGAAAAAAATGTGATAGAAAAATAAATAGAAAAAATAATTTCTGAGTCAAAGAAGAAATTAAAGCATACAGTTGGATTTAAAATGAGAGCTAAAGTTCAGCAATGCCTGCCTGGCAGGTCTCAGCAAGACTTGCATCATGTTGAAACCGAAGATCCTAAAATTAAATTCCCACATGGTTTGATCTGTCAAGTGTTGGAATGGTAGAAGTAAGTGTGTCTGTCTGGGCTACTGTGTTTGAATAGTTCGAATGGTATTGATATTCCCAGATGACCACTTGAATTCTGGCTGCGTATCTTGCAACTTTCTTTGATTTTATCTCTAAAAGAATTATAGTATAAGATGGAAAACCATTTATTTAGATGTCACTGAAATATATTTTAAGTGTAGAAGCAGGTCTTTCCTGTTGTCCTTAAAGAAGCTTTAAATATTCTCAAAGTTTTAATGGAAACCAAAAATTTATGTTTGCCTATTTTGGGTTTCTGCCAAACAGTATAATAGAACTGACTCGACTGATAGTACTATGGATCATAATTTATTGTGAAACAAATATTATGTGACACCAATAGAAGAGAAAAATGAACAACTCTAAAAAAGCATTAATGGGTAACAAAAAAGGTTCTGCCTTTCTTTAAGTTTTTTTCCAGGCTCCTTCTCTCATTCCTAACAGAATAATCCCTCTTGAACCAAATCCGGGAAAAAAAGAAACTTGAATTCAGGGTATTTCAAAAGATAGTCAAATCTTTTTTGTATCTTTTGGTTTACTCAAAAGCAGACTGAGTCATATGAATTTCTCCTGTAAGTCCTTAAATTCTAGCCAACTTTTCCATTATGAATTAGTCAACTTTGGTTTGCAAATGAAGAATGATCATTACTAAATCATCTTTTCCAGATTGATTTTTGTAAAATAAGTAAAGGAAATAGCACTGCAATATTTATTTATTTCATTAAATAATGATGCACTGTATTGACAAATTAAATATTTTTAATAAACATCTGTCTAGACTTAGGAGATTTTTTACGTGTATGTAGTGCATGATTTAAGATTTAATTCAGGCAAATACTGTACTTGGCCCCAAATGGAACCAAAGTTACTCAAGATGAATAAGCTCTAGAGGTCTGCTGTCTGCTGTACAGCATTGTGCCCATAGTTAACACTATTCTATTACACACTTAAATTTTGAATATAGATCTCATATTAAATGTATTTTTCTATATTAAAAATAGTCTAATATTTCCTACAGAAAAGACAACCTACAGAATGGGAGTAAATATTTGCAAATCATACATCTGATAAACGATTAATATTCAAAATACGTAAAGAACACTTACAAATCAATACCAAAAAAAAAACATAAATAACCCTGTTAATAAGTGGAGAAAGGCTTTGAATACACATTTTGCCATTTTGTCAAAGAAGACATACAGATGGCCAACAGGCATATGAAAAGATGCTCAGAACATCACTAATTGTCTTAGTGAGTCTGGGGTGCTATAAAAAATTATCAAAGACTGAGTGACTAAGACAACAAACATTTATTTATCATAGTTCTGGAGGATCCGAAGTCCAAAATCAAGATGCTGCCAGACCTAGGGTCTTTTGTGGTCCTGCTCGCTGGTTTGCCAGCGAACTTCTCCTTCTATGATTAAATAAACAAAAGATAACAAGAGTTAGCTAGGATATAAAAAAACTGGAATGCTTGAACACCTTTGATAAGAATGTTAAATGGTACAGCTGCTACAGAAAATAGTATGAAGATTCCTCAAAAAATTAAAAATAGAACTGCAGTATAATCCAGCAATTCCACTTTCAGGTATTTATCCAAAATAATTGAAATTTGGAACTCAAAGTGATATGTGCATTCCCACATATCCCACATATGTGCATTGCAACATTATTCATAATACCAAGCTGTGGAAACAACTAAATGTATACTAAAGGAATAAATAGGAGAATGTGATATATAGATACAAATGGATAGTGTTCAGCCTTAAAAAAGAAGGAAATTCCACCAGATGGAACAATATGCATGGACTTAGAAGACATTATGCTAAGTGATGTAAGCCATTCATAGAAAGACAAATACTGTGTGATATTAAGTATTAATGAATTAGTAAAACTTATAAAAGCAGAGAGTAGAATGGAGGTTGCCAGAGGCTAAGGAGAGGGGAATACAGGAAGTTACTATTCAATGGGTATAAAGTTTCAGTTATGCAAGATGAATAAGTTCTAGAGATCTAATGTACAGCATTGTGCCTATGGTTAGCAATATTCTATTTTACACCTACATATTGTTGAAAGTGGATCTTATGTTAAATGTTCTTTCCATAATAAGAAAGTTGACTATTTCCCCCATTGATTAATTTTATTGTATCAGCTTTTCTTATTAATTCTTTGTGAAGATTAATGAAAAATGAACATACTTTTATAGCAAAAATAGGGGTGAACTCTCCCATTAGGTCTGATAGTTTGAAAATGAAAATATCTGTAATGTTTTCTCTTTAGAGATTAATCCATTATCACTTAGTTCCTAGAATTCAAATCCATTACTGTTATATATGTACTATAAAATATATACAAAAGCATAATTCAAGTTTGTAAGCATCATCCAATTTGTGGAATTAACATGAGCAGGGAAGAAAAATTGAAACTTGCACATCTGTAATGCAGTAAGTCACACAGAAATTATGGTTTAAAAATTTTTAAAGATTTTTTTCTTAATGTATGGCCCAGAAATTATATTTTGGTCATTTTACATAGTATTTTAACAACATCAGCCATGAAACTACTATGCTGACAAAGCAGTTTTGCTCACCTTCATCCTCTCTTTTGATTGCCAACTTCAGTGACTATTATTAAGGTTAGCAATAAGTTTCTGTGAAAAGTTCTTAGCAAGTTAATCGACCCCTTCCTTCAAAATAAAACACAATAAACCTTGAGGGTTTAGAAAACCAGTTCAACTGAACTAAATACGAAACGCATTTTAGTGTGGAACAAACCACTCTTCCTTCTTTACTCGAAATTAACATTAGCCCAGGATTACACAATGATAAAACTAATGGTGATTATTGAAACTCAAGGTAGCCCTAAAGCAAGTCCTTCTATTGCTCACAATTATGTCTTTAAATTCAAAAGCAGGAATAAAAGAAATGATGAATAAATTAAGACCTAAGTTCAAAATATGCGTTGAATATCTTTGAATAAGTAGGAGGTCATTACTTTGCTGCTTTAAGTGCAACTACACTTCTCTTTAGTGTTATGCTGTATTTTCCACAAACTTCTAAAATTGGCTCCTTTCCAAGGACTAACTTCTCCTTATCTGTCACGGTGTCTTTGTTACTATACATTATTTCTAAGAAATTCCTTTCCAGCCCTATATCACTTCATATTAAATCAAGCAGATGAAACTTGTTCTTTTACATTGAGAGCCAATGTCATCCAAATAAAGTCAAACAATTATTTTAAAACACAAAATGTTTGCATCCCAGGAATCAAGCTGCATGGACGTCATACATGTTGAGGTACTAAATGAGAATCATGTAGGATTTGTTAGAGGCATAAATACTCTTGCTCTGTGTTCTGTGATGAGTCTGAAAGAAGCTACATTTCTCCCTTCCCTAGGTTTGTAGGTGTACTTTACACAAACACACACACACACCTTACACACACACACACTTCTTTTGAAATTATGCCAGCATTTCATCAAACAAGGAAGACAGACAGAAAACATTATAGGCCCATAATTGTGAAACCCAGCAATGTTAGTGGTACTGTTAAATCCTTAACAACATCCTGTGTCATTCAAATTTACCTAATTTATTCTTTCCAGGATGTGGTTTATAATGGAGACTTTCTCTATTAATTGATAAACAGCTGTAAGTGCAAAAGAATGAAATGTGGAAAAGCAGGCTTTATGTTCCCAGAAAAATAAAATAAATAAATAATGAACATGGCTTAAGCTAAGGGTAAGTCAGTAAGCACTTCCGTAGCAAAAACCCTCATTGAAATTAATGAAAATTTTGTTCCTGTGTGTGATTAGGGTTTTATTCTGACTGAAGCTAGTTGCACAATGAACTCCGGAATATAGTATCACATTGATATTGCATCCTCTTAATCAGAGAATAAATTTTTGTAAATACTTAGAAATATAAAAATATTTTATTTACGAAAAAGTCAGCACAATTGTACAGCTGGGTTGTTCACACAGTAAGATTCACTGTTTGCCAGCTTACATATATGAGTAAGATTGAAAAATGAGTTTAATGTTTTAAGTGCCTGAGCATTTTGTCATGTGTAAAGGCTAAAGAGGTCTAAACTCTAAAGGGGAGTCTCTCAAATTCTAAAATACTAAGCTTAAATAATACAATTTGCTATTAGAAAATATTTGCTTCTATAATCATGGAATTTCCTTAGCAAATAAAATATATTTTGGACAATGTTTAAGAGTGTCATTGTTTTCTCTAAAGTGATTTTGAATACCTTGGAGAACTAGTTGAAGTGTATTTTTTCTTAAGCTATATAGTTTGAATTTAAATTATTAAAATTATTTAAACGAGACGCAATTATTTTCTGATAGAAATGCTTACTGGATGATATTGTATAAATCATTCTATGGCAACAACATACCTTCTAAGTTGACATTAATGTATTTTAGCTCCACAAATATTTTATGTTGTAGATTATTTTCAGAGGTATTATTGAGGGTAAAGTTCTATGAGACTTTGGATTCTTCATAGATTACTGTATTTGTTAGGATTAGATTTGACTATAAAGGTTAAAAAAGCTAATTAGAGTGGTTTAAAAAAACACAAGTCTATTTCTCAAGTAAAAATCCAAATAGAGGCTCTATGACTGAAATGATGGCTCCAACAATATTAGTGACATAGTTTCCTTTTTTTCTAAGTGTTCTATCATCCTTAAAGCCAGCTTTAACCTCACGGACCAAAATAAGTGCTTCAGTTCCATCCATTACATCTGCATTCTAACAAACAAGGCAGGAAAAAAGTCAGGAAATATAAATAAGCCTTTTATATTTAAGTACTCTTACCAGAATCTGTATATATCATTTGTAGTTATATTCTGTTCTCAGGATGTTATATAAATTTGCTTTGCTGCAAAGGAGAATAAGAAATGTAATCTATATCTATCACTTAAAATCAGACTGTCATTTATTTAACATAGAAGAGAAGTCTATTACCTTAGAAGAAGAGGATTATAAATTTGACAGAGGGATATGGATTTCTGCCATGACAACTATACCCCATACCCCGTTAAGGTAAACGGCCCAATTTACATTTCCAGAATCCCCCCAACCATGATAACTGCATACTTGTAGGGGATTTGTAGCTATTATGATGACAGAATTATTATCGAAAGCAATGGCAGTTTTCAAAATGGTTATCAGTGGCTTCCTGCTGATCATGGCTCATCAATATCTGCTGTGTGAAAAAAGTTCTGACATATCCTTCTGTTGCTGATATGTGCTGGAAGAATTTACAACCAGCCATATTGAAGGTAAGTTGATGAAGATACTTCCAGCGACAGGGAGGCTTGTCCATATGTGATTTAGAAAGCAGGGAGTAAAATGGAGAATGACCTAAGGGTCAAGACGTTTTGCTTAGGCTATAGCTATTCTGGAGAGCATAGTGAAGATGACTCAACTTGTCATCTCATAGCACACTCATTATCATTTTAGTTCCACTACCCTGGCATTATGTAACCAATCCCAGCTGTAAAACCTATTCTTCTGTCATTTGTACAATCAACTGTTAATCTGCGTTCTTAAAATTTTCATTTAAGAAATTTATTTCTGGGGCTTTATTAAGCTCCTTGTTCCAGAATCCTAATTCACTGCTGTCTTCTACCTAAAAATGTGTCTATGCCATTATGGCAGTTTCATTACCAAAAAAAGGTAATATTTTGAGACATTAGTCTTTTTAGTAATCCTTGCATCTTTCCCATTCTCTTGTCTCTATTTAAGCAAGTGGTCAGCTTGTTTTTATTGCCTCAAGAAATGGAGGTACCAGGCTAAAATGCTGAAACTCCTATAAGACTTCCCAGCTTTATTATAAAAAAGATTAAGTCCCAGGGAGAAAAGAGGATTCATTAGTACCGGTAGACAAAATATCTCATTCAAAAGCATGGGGAAGACCAATACAGGAAACAGAAAAAAAAATATTAACCAAAAGTGGAAGAGAAGGAAGAGTTTCCTTCTAACTAGAAAGACACTCCCTCAGGATTGCATTAGGATTGCATCTGTGCCCTGCTTCCCCACAGAGCTGCTGTGGGTGCAGAAAGCCTCCAGAGATGTCTGAACATCTCAGGAGCAGTGGGCATGAAGCCCAGCCTTTTTTAGTATCACAACAGATTAGCCAGAACCCAGTAGGACACAGGGTGATGCAGGTGTGCCCTGTGAGAAGCTTCCTATTTTCCTGAGCACAGACCACAGGTGGAAGAGTCTGGAACTGACTGAGCCAAGCTCCCTGGGATAGGAAACCTACTCATGTTAATGTTTACAGGCAGTGGCAGAAAGCCATCCCTGAATGGCTTGATATGAGTGAGCATTCCAGAATCTTGACTTGAGTTTTGGAGGAGAGAGACTTGAATAAGGCTATACACGTATAAAGGATCTAATAGATTAAGATATAAAAGATCTAAGTAGAAATTAATTTGCAGGAAAACATTTTTTCTCATCTGTGTTTGATATGATAATCTTCTTTTTTCACTTCTGCTGTCATCTCTCCCACCACCTTCAAAATCTTCCACTAGATACACATAAACACACATTTCCGTGAATATACACATGTTTACAAATGGACCAATGCTTTTTATTTGGCTCCCTGGCTCACATAGTCTGTTTGTGCTCCATAACAAAATACACAAGACAGGGCGATTCATAAAAAGCGGAAATTTATTTTCTTACAGTTTGCAAAGATAGGAAGTTCAAGATCAAGGAACCAGCAGGTTTGGTTGTCTGGTGAGGGCTGACAAATGGAACTTTCATGCTGCATTCTCTCAAGGGGAGGAACTTTGTATCCTCACATGGCAGAAGACAGAAGGGCAAGCCAACAGAACTCTGCATGAAACCTCTTCTATAAAGACCTTAATTCCATACATGAGAAAGGAATTCTCTTGGTCTAATCACCTCTAAATGTTCCAACTCTCAATACTATTATATTGGTAACACCTGAACTTTGGAGGGGACACATTCAAACAATAGCACTGGTTTACCTTGGAATTATCACACCTTAGAATTAAAACAGAATTCAGAGTCCATCCTGTCAAATCTGCCCTTGACTCATCAATATTTATAAATATTTCTAGTAACCCATCACCCAGGTTCAGTTTAAATTAAATTGTTATGTGGATTGTACTATCAATAATGGTCATCCAGTTAATTTTTAGATTGTTCTAACTATTTTAAAAGATCTGTCTTTGTTTCAGTCAATCATCCATAATTCTCTCCCATTTGGTAACATCTGAACAATCAGATTTCATGCAATGTGTCTTTCTCTGACATGTTTTCTGGCATCTCAGGATTTCATTTATCTCTCAAATCCATGCTTCCCCATGCTACATATCACAATTTACCTCAACTCTACCTCCTATGGCAGGTTTGAAAATCTACTTATTGCTATCATTTCTCTCAAGAGGTCCAGCTTTTCCACATCAATTTTAAAGTACTGATACAGAAGTAGGTGAAAAACACTATTTTTTTTATTTGCCTGAAAATGCTTAAGTCTTACGAAACTGAATACTACTTTCCTCTTGTAGGCACTAATGATATTATTTCTTTGTATTAAGTGTGATTTCAGAGACTTATAAAGGAGACGGGATGCTGTCTGTTATATTTCTTGAGGCCACGTGAATGAACCCAGATTGCTCTTGACCCAAAAGAATATGTTCACAGATTTCTGATTAGAATGCATCTCTAGTTATCTAATGCAATAAATCATTTTCTGGTGTATTCCTGAAGACCTCAAGCTGGTTAGCACAATATATATGTGTATTATGGCTGCTAAAACCGTCACAAAATCCAAATTAGTAAGCATGTTTATCTGAAATATCAAGATGTTATTCTCATATATAAAATGGATGTTTATTATATAGAAATTAAAAAATCACCCACAGCCCAATATTTATTTATGTTAATATACACCATTGACATTTGAAATAAATGCTCTTGGAAATTTTCCATACAAATATGCATCCTTATTACACTGTTTAGAAATAGGACTATATTTTACCTAAAGGTTTGTAACTGCTTTTAAAATTATTGCCCTAATATGCAATTATATAAAAATATAGTAATTAATGTAATTAGTTCCCAAAAGAGAGAAATTTAGATTATTTTAGGTTTTGCATTTGGAAGTGCTACTTCATTTTGAAGTCCAATTAATGTTTTATTGGGTCTATAGAAAAAAGACAACAAACAGGAATTTCTAGTAAAAATTTTGCTTTTACCTGGAGTAAGGTAGAGAATAAGACTAAGAGTGGGGTTCTGTTCCAAGATGGCCAAATAGGAACAGCTCTGGTCTGCAGCTCCCAGCGTGATCAATGCAGAAGACAGGTGATTTCTGCATTTCCAACTGAGGTACCTGGTTCATCTCACTGGGACTGGTTGGACAGAGGGTGCAGCCCATGGAGGGTGAGCCAAAGCAAGGTGGGGCATTGCTTCACCCAGGAAGCACAAGGGGTTGGAGGATTTCCCTTTCCTAGCCAAGGGAAGCTGTGAGAGATGGCACCTGGAAAACCAGGACACTCTCGCCCAAATACTGTGCATTTCCAACAGTCTTAGCAAATGGCACACCAGGAGATTATATCCCATGCCTGGCTGGGCAGAATCCAAGCCCGTTGGAGCCTTGCTTACTGCTGGCACAGCAGTCTGAGATCAACCTGTGAGGCAGCAGCCTGGCAGGGGGAGGGGCATTTGACATTACTGAGGCTTGAGTAGGTAAACAAAGCAGCCCAGGAAGCTTGAACTGGGTGGACCCCTCCCCAGCTCAGTGAGGCTGGCTGCCTCTGTAGTCTCCACCTCTGGGGGCAGGGCATAGATGAACAAAAGGCAGCAGAAATTTCTGCAGACTTAAATATCCCTGTCTGACAGCTCTGAAGAGAGCAATGGTTCTCCCAGCATGGTGTTTGAGCTCAGAGAACGGACAGACTGCCTCCTCAAGTGGGTCTGTGACCCATGTGTAGCCTAACTGGGAGACACTTCCCAGTAGGGGTCAACTGACACTTCATACAGGTGGGTGCCCCTCTGGGATGAAGCATCCAGAGGAAGGATCAGGCAGCAATATTTGCTGTTCTGCAATATTTGCTGTTCTGCAGCCTCTGCTGGTGATACCCAGGAAAACAG
The DNA here is from genome assembly GCF_000001405.40 of Homo sapiens. Lineage (NCBI taxonomy): Eukaryota > Metazoa > Chordata > Mammalia > Primates > Hominidae > Homo > Homo sapiens. The sequence goes on from NC_000006.12 coordinate 92,079,146, forward strand.
GGTCTGGAGTGGACTTCCAGCAAACTTCAACAGACCTGCAGCTGAGGGACCTGACTGTTATAAGGAAAACTAATAAGCAGAAAAGAATAGCATCAACATCAACAAACAGGATATCCACACCAAAACCCCATCTATAGGTCACCAACATCAAAGACCAAAGGTAGATAAAACCACAAAGGTGGGGAGAAACCAGAGCAGAAAAGCTTAAAATTCTAATAACCAGTGAGCCTCTTCTCCTCCACAGGATCGCAGCTCCTCGCCAGCAAGGGAACAAAGCTGTATGGAGAATGATTTTCATGAGCTGACAAAAGTAGGGTTCAGAAGGTCAGTAATAAGAAACTTCTTCAAGCTGAAGGAGGATTCTCGAACCCATCACAAGGAAGCTAAAAACGTTGAAAAAAGATTAGATGAATGGTTAACTATAAAAAACAGTGTAGAGAAGACCATAAATGACCAGATGTAGCTGAAAATCGTGGCACGAGAACTTCATAATGCATGCACAAGCTTCAATAGCCGATTCAATCAAGTGGAAGAAAGGGTATCAGCGATTGAAGATCAAATTAATGAAATAAAGTGAGAAGAGAAGTTTAGAGAAAAAAGAGTAAAAAGAAACGAACAAAGACTCCAGGAAATATGGGGCTATGTGAAAAGACCAAAACTACGTTTGACTGGTGTACCTGAAAGTGACAGACAGAATGAAACCCAGCTGGAAAACACTCTGCAGGATATTATCCAGCAGAACTTCCCCAACCTAGCAAGGTAAGCCAACATTCAAATTCAGGAAATACAGAAAATGCCACAAAGATACTCCTCAAGAAGAGCAACCCCAAGACACATAATTGTCAGATTTACCAAGATTGAAATGAAGGAAAAAATGTTAAGGGCAGCCAGAGAGAAAGGTTGGGTTACCCGCAAAGGGAAGCCCTTAAGACTAACAGCAGATCTCTCAGCAGAAACTCTACAAGCCAGAAGAGAGTGGGGGCCAATATTCAACATTCTTAAAGAAAAGAATTTTCAACCCAGAATTTCATATCCAGCCAAACTAAGCTTCACAAGTGAAAGAGAAATAAAATTCTTTACAGACAAGCAAACGCTAAGAAAATTTTTGTCACCACCAGGCCTGCCCTACAAGAGCTCCTGAAGGAAGCACTAAACATGGAAAGGAACAACCAGTACCAGCCACTGCAAAAACATGCCAAATTGTAAAGGTCATTGATGCTAGGAAGAAACTGCATCAACTAATGAACAAAATAACCAGCTAACATAATGACAGGATCAAATTCATACATAACAATATTAACCTTAAATGTAAATGGGCTAAATGCCCCAGTTAAAAGACACAGACTGGCAAATAGGATAAAGAGTCAAGACCCATCAGTGTGCTGTATTCAGGAGACCCATCTCATGTGTAGAGACACACATAAGCTCAAAATAAAGGGATGGAGGAAGATCTACCAATAAAATGGAAAGCAAAAAAAAGCAGGGGTTGCAATCCTAGTCACCGATAAAACAGACTTTAAACCAATGATGATCAAAAGAGACAAAGAAAGCCATTACATAATAGTAAAGTTATCAATTCAACTAGAAGAGCTAACTATCCTATATATATATGCACCCAATACAGGAGCACCCACATTCATAAAGCAAGTCCTTAGAGACCTACACAGAAACTTAGACTCCCACACAATAATAATGGGAGACTTTAACACCCCACTGTCAATATTAGGCAGATCAACAAGACAGAAGGTTAACAAGGATATCCAGGACTTGAACTCAGCTCTGCACTAAGCAAACCTCATAGACATCTACAGAACTCTTCACCCCAAATCAACAGAATTTACATTCTTCTCAGCACCACGTCAGACTTATTCCAAAATTGACCACATAGTTGGAAGTAAAGCACTCCTCAGCAAATGTAAAAGAACAAAAATCAAAACAAACTGTCTCTCAGACCACAGTGCATTCAAATTAGAACTCAGGATTAACAAACTCACTCAAAACTGCACAACTACATGGAAACTGAACAACCTGCTCCTTAATGACTACTGGGTAAATAACGAAATGAAGGCAGAAATAAAGATGTTCTTTGAAACCAATGGGAACAAAGACACAACGTACCAGAATCTCTGGGACACATTTAAATCAGTGTGTAGAGGGAAATTTATAGCACTAAATGCCCACAAGAGAAAGCAGGAAAGATCTAAAATCAACACCCTAATATCACAATTTAGAAAAACTGGAGAAGCAAGAGCAAACAAATTTAAAAGCTGGCAGAAGGCAAGAAATAATTAAGATTAGAGCAGAACTGAAGGAGATAGAGACACAAAAAACCCTTCAAAAAATCAATGAATCCAGGAGCTGGTTTTTTGAAAAGATCAACAAAATTGATAGACCACTAGCAAGACTAATAAAGAAGAAAAGAGGGAAGAATCAAATAGATGTAATAAAAAATGATAAAGGGGATATCACCACTGATCCCACAGAAATGCAAACTACCATCAGAAAATACTATAAACACCTCTGTGCAAATAAACTAGAAAATCTAGAAGAGGTGGATAAATTCCTGGACAAATACACCCTCCCAAGACTAAACCAGGAAGAAGTTGAATCTCTGAACAGACCAATCAATAACAGGTTCTGAAATTGAGGCAATAATTAATAGCCTACCAACCAAAAAAAGTCCAGGACCAGATGAATTCATAGCCGAATTCTACCAGAAGTACAAAGAGGAGCTGGTACCATTCCTTCTGAAACTATTCCAAGCAATAGAAAAAGAGGGACTCCTTCCTAACTCATTATATGAGGCCAGCATCTTCCTGATACCAACGCCTGGCAGAGACACAACAACAACAAAAAAAGAATTTTAGACCAATATCCCTGATGAACTTTGATGCAAAAATCCTCAATAAAACCGAATCCAGCAGCACAGCAAAAAGCTTAACCACGATGATAAAGTAGGCTTCATCCCTGATGCAAGGCTGGTTCGACATATGCAAATCAATAAACATGATCCATAACATAAACAGAACCAACGACAAAAACCACATGATTATCTCAATAGATGCACAAAAGGCCTTTGACAAAATTCAACAGCTCTTCATGCTAAAAACTCTGAATAAACTAGGTATCGATGGAACATATTTGAAAATAAGAGCTATTTATGACAAACCCACAGCCAATATCATACTTAATAGGCAAAAACTGGAAGCATTCCCTTTGAAAACTGGCACAAGACAGGGATGCCATCTCTCACTACTCCTATTCAACATAGTGTTGGAAGTTCTGGCCAGGGCAATCAGGCAGGAGAAAGAAATAAAGGGTATTTGATTAGGAAAAGAGGAAGTCAAATTGTCCCTGTTTGCAGAAGACATAATTGTATATTTAGAAAATCCCATTGTCTAAGCCCAAAATCTCCTGAAGCTGATAAGCAGCTTCAGCAAAGTCTCAGGATACAAAATCAATGTGCAAAAATCACAAGCATTCATATACACCAATAACAGACAGACAGCCAAATCATGAGTGAACTCCCATTCACAATTGCTACAAAAAGAATAAAATACCTAGAATTCCAACTCATAAGTGATGCGAAGCACCTCTTCAAAGAGAACTACAAACCATTGCTCAATGAAATAAAAGAGGACACAAACAAATGGAAGAACTTTCCATGCTCATGGATAGGAAGAATCAAGATTGTGAAAACAGCCATATTGCCCAAGGTAATTTATAGATTCAATGCCATCCCCAATAAGCTACCAATGACTTTCTTCACAGAATTGGAAAAAACTACTTTAAAGTTCATAAGGAACCAAAAAAGAGCCTGCATTGCCATGTCAATCCTAAGCCAAAAGAACAAAGCTGGAGGCATCATACTACCTGACTTCAAACTATACTAAAAGGCTACAGTAACCAAAACAGCATGGTACTGGTACCAAAACAGATACATAGAATGAGGCAACAAAACAGAGGTCTCAGAAATAACACCACACATCTACAACCATCTGATCTTTGACAAATCTGACAAAAACAAGAAATGGGGAAAGGATCCCCTATTTAACAAATAGTGCTGGGAAAACTGGCTAGCCATATGTAGAAAGCTGAAACTGGATTCCTTCCTTACACCTTATACAAAAATTAATTCAAGATGGATTAAAGACTTAAATGTTAGACCTAAAACCATAAACACCCTAAAGAAAACCTAGGCAATACCATTCAGGACATAGGCATGGGCAAAAACTTCATGACTAAAACATCAAAAGCAATGGCAACAAAAGCCAAAATAGATAAATGGGATCTCTTTACACTAAAGAGCTTCTGCACAGCAAAAGAAACTAGCATCAGAGTGAACAGGCAACCTACAGAATGGGAGAAAATATTTGCAATCTATCCATCTGACAAAGGGCTAGTATTCAGAATCTACAAAGAACTTACACAAATTTACAAGAAAAAAAACAAACAACTGCATCAAAAAGTGGGCAAAGGATATGAACAGACACTTCTTAAAAGCAAACATTTATGCAGCCAACAGACATATGAAAAAATGCTCATTATCACTGGTCATCAGAAATGCAAATCAAAACCACAATGAGATACCATCTCACACCAGTTAGAATGGCGATCATTACAAAGTCCAGAAACAACAGATGCTGGAGAGGATGTGGAGAAATAGGAACGGTTTTACACTGTTGGTGGGAGTTTAAACTAATTCAACCATTGTGGAAGACTGTGTGGCGCTTCCTCAAGGATCTAGAACTAGAAATACCATTTGACCCAGTGATCCCATCACTGGCTATATACCCAAACGATTATAAATCATGCTACTATAAAGACACATGCATACGTATGTTAATTGTGGCGGTATTCACAATAGCAGAAACTTGGAACCAACCCAAATGTCCATCAATGTTAGACTGGGTTAAGAAGATGTGGCACATATACACCATGGAATACTATGCAGCCATGAAAAAGGATGAGTTCATGTCCTTTGCAGGGACATAGATGCAGCTGGAAACCATCATTCTGAGTGAACTATCAGAAGGACAGAAAACCAAACACTGCATGTTCTCACTCATAGGTGGGAATTGAACAATGCAAACACTTGGACACAGGGCAGTGAATATCACACCCCGGGGCCTGTCGTGGGGTTGGGGTCAGAGGGAGGGATAGCATCAGGAGAAAAACCTAATGTAAATGATGAGTTAATGGGTGCAGCAAACCAACATGGCACATGTATACCTATGTAACAAACATACACATGGTGCATATGTACCCTTGAACCTAAAGTATATAAAAAAAAAAAGACTAAGAGTAAGTAAGCATGTTAAGTGCCCATATTTAGACCTAGTGGAATTTCTGAGTTAGTTTCATATTCCTATTGTTTGTATTATTTATTGATCATACTATTAATAATCATGATTATTTAAATCAATTTAATTATTTTAACAGTTTGAAAATGGTAAAGTTTATGTAGAAGGTACCTAGTAGAAACCAGTCTCATGAAAAATTATATGTGTGTATACAAACACACACACTTATACACACATTCTTACATATTGTTCACCTCATATGAGGCCCCACAATGCACACATTTGACAAATCATATTATCCACTAGGTCTCTTTTCCTCTGTGGTGCTTCAAAGTCATTCAATGAAGGGAATATCTAAAAGAAACATGGCTTAAATGAAAGGACTTTTTCAAATATTTTCAAAATTAAATTGCTATTCAGCCCTATGGGAAGATGTGTTTGGAAGCAAGCCATTTGTTCCATTTACATATAGAACCATTTCTTAATTTTCTAAATTCTTGCAAGATTTTATCAAATGTAAGACAGCAAAAATATAATTTTTCATAGTGCACAGAACATGGTGAATTTGCAAAAAGAAAAGTAAATAAGAATAAGAAAGCTTTTTGTTTTTATAAATGCCTATTCACACTTTCGGCAAGCAAATAATATAAATAAAAATAATTCACATTCACGCCATGGAAGCTTGGCTTGCTTGTGTAAATTTCTCAAAAAACTGAGAAAACACAAATGTTGCTTCTATGTCTCAGAAGAATAACACCAATTCTTTATTGAGAATAGACATACTACTAAAATATTCTTTTTATGGTTTTAGAACTTTTTAATCGTTGAAAACTACTTTTCTGTATTTTAACTCATTTGTCTTCATAAGACTGTGCAGCAGTATGGCATTTGGTGAATGAAACAGGCAAAAGGTTGTTGGACAAAATCACAAATAGAATAATGAACATGAGCAATTTTACCTCATACTTAACTTCAAGCAAATATAGAATACATTTATACAGAATCAGGTTAGAAAACTTTGATATTATATATCTGAGCAGAACAAGCACCATCAGGTAGAAAATGTGATTTCTCCTCTCATAACATGTTTTATAGATATAAATTTTATGAAAACCAAGTCTTATGGTCATCTCTAGGAGATAAGAAAGTGCTTTTGAGAAAGACATAATTTTATATCCAGCATAAGAAATTGTAGATATTGGTAAAGTAAATAATTACATATGTCAACAATTTAGGGACACACTGTTTTTCATGGATTACTGGGAATAAGCATCTAACTGGGAAGTATTTTCCACTTCAAAAAAGACTCAAAACATTTGTTAGAAACCAGTATGCCTCTGATATGCTTTGGCTGTGTCCCCACCCAAATCTCATCTTGAATTGTAGCTCCCATAATTCCCACAGGTTGTGCAGGGACCTGGTGGGAGATAATTGAATTGTGGTAGCAGGTATTTCCCATGCTATTCTCATGATAGTGAATAAGTCTCATGAGATCAGATAGTTTGGGAGAGACAGATTTATTGTGAGATCTTCCTTTACCATAAATCTCTACTATGGGAAAATGATTGTAAATGTTGTAAAATACGTTGAATTTAAAAAGAGAGTTTCCCTGCACAAGTCCTCTTCTCTTATTTGCTGCCATGTGAGATGTGCCTTTCACCTTCCACCATGATTGTGAGTCCTCCCAAGCCAGATGGTACTGTGAGTACATTAAACCTCTTTCTTTTGTAAATTGCCCAGTCTCGAGTATATCTTTATCAGCAGTGTGAAAACAGACTAATACAGCCTCCCACGTTTCCATGTAGGATGTTCTAAATGACTTAACAGCTCAGGGAAAAAGATATGGGAAGAGGTTTCCAGGCACTGTGAGGAACATATGGAAAGATCTTGCAGTGAGAATTTATGTAGTCAACAAAGAGCTTTTCAGGTAAAGCCATGGATTGAGCACCAAAGATTTTTAAGTTAGAGGAGTTAGGGTCAATGAACACAGCATGTGAATCCTAAATATATTCCTCTTATTGCTCTATGGAGAAGATTTTGGTAGGAATGAGTAGATACACCTGACCCTTGTATGTTCATATATGTAATCTCAGGTCAAGATCACTTCCTCAGGGAACCATCATATTTTTTTGTTGAATACTGTCCTTAATCTGTTATTTGTTTCTCCAGAATATTTTAATATTATATTGACTATTATATTTACCTTATTAATTCTGCCTTTTCTCAGATCTTCAAGTTGAATCAATGGGAGACAATTGCACACTTAGTTGTTAGCAATGCCACTAAGTTTTTTGAATGAATTCCAATTTGTTGAATGAATTTTGAAGAAAAGATAGATTCAATATATTTTCTCAAGAATGCAGTGGAAAAAAAAGTGAAACTCATTGCCTGAGTCTGCAATTCTCTACATCTTTTGTGGGACTGACACTGTTAGATTAAAATATCTAACTAATTTGGTTGGAAGGAAGGGAACTGCTTAAGGAGCTGTTTTGTTAGCAATAAAAATGGATGATTTAGTGCAGTCTACAGTGGCCTGTATATTAGAAGTAAATTTCTTTTCTTCCCCTGAAATGCATTAATCAAGACATAAATTATTTTAGTGTGACTTGAAAGCTTAAGAAGGCAGCGCATACAAGTTTACGTATCTGACTTACATATACACAATAATCAGCATGATCATAAAATCAAGAAAATTGAGAAAAAAAGGAAGAAAGTAAAAAAAAAAAAAAGCCATGAGGAAAAGACAGATAAATAGGCCCATAAAGCCTAGGAACAATCAGACTTAAATAGATGGGATCACAGAACAATTGACAAAGGTAAAGAGAAGAACAGACGGCAGAGAAGAGAAAGTGGTCAAGAAGTTAAGAAGGAATAGAAATATTCATCATCTCTAGGTCCACAACCCTCTATGATGCTATCAGTATTTCAGACGGTCATCTCATTGGCAGCCAACTGATACTCTAAGTAGCTGAAAAAAATCACTCGTTCAAGTTATTAAATGCCCTTTAAACTAAACCTATAGATCTTTTTCTGAATGAAATGTTCATAGCCAGGTAGGAGGAAAGGACAGTTGGATTGCCATTGTTTCATCATTTAGTCCTTTCTAGAAGCAAATACTACCTGTAAAAACATTTAAGAATTTTATTAATATGTAACATTCTTTTCTGCATCTATTTGGTACAGAACTGGTAAAAGACTAGAAGATTATTCAAAATAAGCAGCAAAAAATCATGTCTAATGACAATGGAAATTGAATAATTTGTCTTTTGGAACCCATTTTGAAAATCAGATGAACACAGAGACTGAAATGTCAATGCTTTTATATATAACAAGCATGAGGTTATATTTTAGTCCCAAGAATCTTCATTAATATAAATTGGTATATTAGATTTTTAAATTGGGATGCAAGATATAGAATCTGAGTCTGTAAATTAAAATGTTCTTGGAATTAATTACAATGTTATATTTGCTGATAGATAGATTTTAAAAAAGATTAAAAACAAAAAAGTCACAGGCCTTTATATAATTGAACTCTTCATTGAAAACCTATTGAAGTCAAATTATTCTAATGAGATGAGATGAAAATTTTAATGATGCTAACTTTCCTAGTTTTAGTTATTTCTGGAGACTGTCCTTAAATTTGCTTTATAAATATATCAATATAAAGTAAACTTGAATTAGAAAAAAACCCAAAGTTCATTTTAAATAATAATAATTATTAAAATAATAAAAATGAAAAAACATTCAGTAATCATATTCACATAATGATGAGAAACTGTATTTGAAGAGGAATAAAACAATACCTAGAATGTCTTTATCATCATAACATACATTGTTGTTATTGTTTTCAATTGTGTGAATAAGATATTTTTTACTGAAGCAGATACTGCAAGTTTATTGAGTCAAAATGTCTCTGCATACTTCAATTTTACATTCTCTGCTTGTTTTTTTTCTTAACATGCTTTAAATTTCTATTTGTTTATTTGTTTTAGTCTCGGTTGCAGATGATGGTGAAAGTAATCATTCATTTTAATCAAATGCCCTTTTTTCCTGATGTCTCTTTTTTGTATTATTAATCTGACCAACTGCATCTCTGTTTTATACTTCCGTCTAGAACTCCCTTCATACTCAGATTACTGCTACCCTTCATCTTCATCCTGCCTCCATTCTAGTGCGTTGCCTAAGTATACATTCTTGCAAAATTTTTATTGGAATTTTCCTACATGAATTTCTAATTTATGTAAATTGTATCATATTATATATCTTTTCCTGATTCTTACCTTTTTTTGCTTAGCACAATGTCTTTATCACTCTATCATATTGCCATATGTATATAAAATCACCCTAGATTATGAACACCTAGATTACCCAAACTTCATCCATCGCAACAAAATCACTGATAAAATTCGTTTATGTGCTTTCTTATAGAATTGTGTGATGATTTCTCTGGGAGTTATTTGCAGGAGTGAAATTTATGAGTCATAAGGTATGTATATACTGTTTGATTAAGTACTGCCAGATTGCTTTCCAAAATGGCATCATTAATTTACAGACCCTCTTACAATGCATGAGTGCACCCATATCTCCTCATTCTAGCAACATTTGATATTATGTAGTGTTCTAACTTTTGTCAATTTGATAGATTTACAGTAACATCTCATTTTACTTGCAGTTTCCTGATTAGTAATGAGTTTAAATTTCTCTTTGTATGTTTGTTTAATATCTGGGATTTATTTTCTTTTAATTGCTCTTAAAAATGCTATTTTTCTGATGGGTGCATATCTTGTATTATTTTGGAGATAGAGCCTTACTCGTTTGCCCTGGCTGCAGTTCAGTGGCACAATCATAGCTCTCCACAGCCTTGAACTCCTTGGGTTCAAGAGATCTCCAGCCTCAGCCTCCCAGCTAGCTGGGATGACAGGCTTTTACCACCATGGCCAGCTAATTTTATTTTTAGAGACAAGGTCTCACTATGTTGTCCAAGCTACATGTCTTCTTCTTGGTTCTTTGATGGTAGATGTATTTGGCAGATGTTAATTGGCTGTCAATTTTAGGCATTGTAAATAGATTTATATAGGACATTGTCATCTGATCACTTTGGCTCTGGTATAATTCACTGAACGGAAATCCCTAATTTTGATGTTGTTGATTATATAAATTTAATGCCTTATAATTTGTTATGAGAGTTTGTTAAAAATAATTCCTTAATTTTCTATTAAGTTTATAGTTTTACCTTTTCCATTTAGATGTCCAACTCACCATATGGTTTTGGGAACAAAACTGCTTTTACTTCTCTTTATATAGTGAGTCAATCCATCACAGTGTCAGTTACAACTTTATAAATTTAGAGACTAAAGTTTTCAATATATGGGTTTTGTGATAGTTACTTTGACTTACTTAATCATACCGGTATAGAACACTTATCTTTGTCTCATCTAATTTTTTCTTGAGTACTTTCTTTCAGACATTAAATTTATACCGCAGCTTTCTTTCCCCTGGTATATGTTTTTCCATCTACTTATTTTCACTTTCTTTGTCTTTTTTAAGAAAGGAGTGTGTCTCCTATAGGCAACATATTATTGAATTTTAGCTTTGAGTTGTTGCTGTTGTTATTGAGTCCAGCAGGATTCTCCTTTTGTCTTTGATATATGTTATTCTGTTTTTTCATTTATGTTGGATGTACTGTGTGTGTAATTAATTGTCCAGTGCTTTCATTTTCCCTGGGTTAACGGCTATCTTGTGTAGTGATGGGCACTGGGGACTGGCAAAATTTTCTTCCCTGTTACTTGTCAGGAGTTTAAGAGGAGGAGGAATCAGCCCTAGAGCATAAAAGTCAGGCTCCAAAATTTTATACAAGCCCATTTGCTGGCACCAATCAAATAGTATGTTCAGGATTTTCCTGTAATATTTTGAGAAAGAAACACTAAAGCAAGACGTAATCCACCAGCCCTGGAGGTTTGGATGGGGAGACATGAATAAACCACCACTCTCATTTGTTTCTCAACCCAGTTTGGCTTTCATACGGTCCTGAAATTATTGCAACCACTTCCTGCCCACTGTGGTCTCAATTGTTGCTGTTGATTTATATGGGTAAGGAAGAGGAAACAACTTTTCCCAGGTGATGTTGTGAAGAGGAGAAAGTGGAATTTATAACCTCTCCTCAACCTATTCTGCCACTTCCTTCTGGCCACCCTTGCCCCAGACTGCCACCCATCATCTTAGTCCAAGACAGCTTTTGATCTTGGCAGTTTCTCAAGGTTCTATATGATTTATCCCAGTATGTTTTCTTCTTCTGTAGTTTCCCCAGGGTTGATTTTTGGAGATGTAGCCAGCAACACATGCAAGTTTGCCATGCTGATTGATCTGCATGACATCATATCTAAAGTATTCTAGTATGCTTATTACCTCCTTTCCTAACTGTACAGTCTTCCTCCTTTTGACCCACTGGCATACAATGATCTTTGGTCCTCTGAATAGTTAAGGATGCCCCATCGGGCCGATATATCTAATATGCTTCCCTCTTTTCCAATTTACCCTTATCTCTACTTGTTTGCTCCTCTTACCACATGACCTGACTCCATCCACCTCCACTCACTGTCTTAATAGAGTGCATGCTGGAACTGCCCAACAAATACCACATGCAATGGTTGTCCAATGGAGGATGGCAAAAGGGACAAGTAGGTGGAAAATGTTTCCTTCCTTTCACACAGATTCTACTTTCCTCACCCATATGAGGATAACAAATTATCTGGTATTGTCTAAATACTCTCTTACATATTGGCCTGCATGAATACTAGTGACATCATAATTTAAAACATAGTAATCTCAAATCTTTAACTTAAAAGAATGGTTAATTATTAAAGAAGTAATAAAAGACACAAAATAAATCCAACTTACATCATTAGCTACATGTGCTTTTCTATGAATAAAGTATAAATTTTTATTGGAAGGAATTATTAAATTGTTAAGAAAATCAAAATCTTAGTAATATATACAATAAAATATTAATGATTTAATTATTTTTCATCCTTTTGAACAGTTCCGACTGAAGTAAACTACTAAAACACAGAAAACGCCGCTTTTGGATTTAGTTGTACATTTAGTCAGTAATTTAAAAAATGTTGGAATGCATTTGTGCTAATCCTATCAGATATGGAAGGAATATTTTATTTTATATTGTGGAAGCTTATAGAAACTATGACATCAACTGAAAAGTGCGACTCCATGAAACTTTTAAAAAGACAAGTCTAATTTTTATTTTATGTTTTAAACATTTTTAAGAAAATTGTGATTTAGCAATACAGTATCTTAAATTGAGAGAAACATAAAATAAATAGCATTCATATATTGAAGCCCTAACCCTCTGTACCTCAGAATGTGACTATTTGAAGATAGGACCTTTAAGAGATGACAACGCAGATGGGAGCGGTGGCTCACACCTGTAATCTCAGCACTTTGGGAGGCCCAGGTGGGAGGATCACGAGGGCAAGAGATCGAGACCATCCTGGCCAACATGGTGAAATCCCGTCTCTACTAAAAATACAAAAATTAGCTCACCATTGTGGCAGGCGCCTGTAGTCCCAGCTACTCCAGAGGCTGAGGCAGGAGAATGAAGCCGGAAGCGGAGGTTGCAGTGAGCCGAGATTGTGTCACTGCCCTCCAGCCTGGTGACAGAGTGAGACTCTGTCTTAAAAAAAAAAAAAAAGAGGTGACTAGGCTAAAATAAGGCCATTGGTTGGGGGTCAGCCTTAAACCAATCTGAACGATAGTCTCATAAGAAGAGGACATTGGACACATAAGGAGACACGAGGTGTAAGCGCACAGAGGAAAGGGCAAGTGCAGATCCAGCAAGATGGCGGTCATCTGCAAGCCAAGCAGAAAAGCCTCAGGAGAAATCATACCTGATGATCGATCCCTAGATCCTGGACTTCTAGCCTCTAGTACTGTGAGAAAATAAATTTCTGTTGTTTAAGCCATGCAATCTCTGGTGCTTTACACAGTGACCTGAGCAGACCAACACACCTTACTGAGACTTTTAGTTTGTATTTAATTCTTGTTCATATAAAGACTCAAATACTACTGATTATGGCTATGTCCATGTGTTTTTGTGTTTGTGTATTTGTGGTGTATTCGCCTCTGTGTATTGCAAATGTTTGTGTTTTTGTTCCCATACCCCGTTATACCATAAATCTAAATTTAACACATATGTATTGCTTAATTCATGCCAAGCACCAAATTAATTATTTCAACACATATTAAGAATTCACAAAATATGATAATATCTTAATCATTTTTGACCCAGTTGAGAAATCCAAGCTAGTCTCTGGGGTACCCTAAACTAAGCTAACCTTGCCAAGACCTGAAAGCGCAAGTTTCCCAGTTTGAATGAATAACTGAAACTATCCCACCGTAATTGAACTATGACTTGGTGACTTCATCAACACACACTAATTTTAAAGTCACAAATGAAAATGTTTCCTAGAAATAAAATTTTCCAAAAAGATAACAGTCAATAAAATGCAAAGCTATAATTTTTTCCTCCCTCAATAAATTAGAATAAAACACCCAGTGAATGTTTATGGTAGAGTAATGTATTATTTATCTTAGCACCTTGAGTAGAATTTGAAAGTATATAACATGCTATTTACATATGGGAATTGTTTGACTGTGCTTTTATTATTTTTTTTCTCTCTCTCATAACAACTAATTTATAAGGCATTTTAGGAACAAGTTTCCAAAGAGAGAACTGCACGTAGTTCAGTCTAAAATTATTTATCATTTCTGGTACTTAAAGGAAGAGAAATTTCCTAGTTAGTGTTAGAGGGAAGATGCTATCCTAACATAATTACATTGTTAGATATCAGGATCCTGTCAGGAAGGAAATGATAAATGGCAGAATGCCTGGAAACACACAGCCTACAAGATTCAGAAGTTCATGCTGTAATGAAGAGAATAAAACTTTCAACTGGAACTTCAAAGACAAAAACTTCTTACTCATTGATCTGTCCTAGTACAATATTAAGAAGTGCCTGATTACTTGGTGTCCTTTTTTTAGAGTAAGCTGAATGCCTCTCTTGAGGAGAGTTCAAGGTTTTTACTAAAATAGTTAGAAACTAAGTAGGAAGGGGACTTCCAGTTAATACACTTTTCCATGAGCTCATAAAAGGCACTTCTGTCAAGCCATATAGACAACCCTGCCTTTAGTAATCTTAGAGGTTCTTTCCAGGCAAAATGTAAAGATTAATTTTTATCCTCTAAAGTAGTGATCTTTAGCTACTTCATCAGGGTGAAAAATAAGAACACGTTGAAGGATATCTAGTCTTTCTTCTTTCTTAATCTAAGATTTATAATCTTGGAGTTGGATCTAGTCATTTTCATGAAAATTCATTTTTTTGCATAACTAGAAAAGGCCATAAAGACTGCCTCATAACTAGTTTATTTATTAAATGGAGGCAAAAGTACTTTTCTCAGGAATTATTAAAACTCCAGGCAATATATTTTGACTTTAAAAATAGGCTTTTCAAATAGTGATAATCCCTATTATACAATGAAGATCATAGTCATATTGTTTTTCACATAGTTAATATAAATATGTAAATACATTAATTGTTTTTCTTTTTATGAAGACATTAAGTTCAACAATTAAAACTTCTGTCTGTACAGGGGAGCAGAAACATCAGATTAAGATTGCAACTATGGGCCGGGCTTAGTGGCTCACGCCTGTAATCCCGGCACTTTGGGAGGCCAAGGCGGGTGGATCAACTGAGGTGAGGATTTTGAGGCCAGCCTGACCAACATGGCGAAACCCCGTCTCTACTGAAAAAACATACAAAAATTAGCCAGGCGTGGTGATGTGCACCTGTAATCTCAGCTACTCGGGAGGCTGAGACAGGAGAATCGCTCAAACCCAGGAGGTGGAGGTCGCAGTGAGCTGAGATCATGCCACTGCACTACAGCCTGGGTGACAGAGTGAGACTCTGTTAATAAATAAATAAATAAATAAAGATTGCAACTATGATAATAAATTTTGCATAAATATTTTTATTTCTTCTGTAAATAGTTCTGTTTTTTCCTGTATGATTAGGTGGTGTTCTTTTTAGACCTTGATATAGATATACTACAAGGTGATTTTTCCAAACTCACATTTTTATTGGTCTTCTCTATTCCATTTTGATGTGATTATGAATGTAAATGTTGAGGACTGTAAATAAAACAATACTTAATAGTATATAATTTAATAATACCTTTGATGGCTCTTTTTTTGAAAAGGTCATTGGGTTGAATCCACAAATTGTTTACTAAGTCTTGAGAACATGTTTATGAGGATTTTTTATTTATATTAAAATATTTTAAAAGTTTATTTTATTTTCTCTGAAATAACTGTAACAAATGTACTTTGAAGAATTTTGTGGAAAAGAGGAATATATTATATTATCTCCAAAAAACTTAGTAATAACATTTTAGTACATTGTCTTCCAATTATTCTCAGGACAAATGCTTTAAAATAGTTGTGCTAAAATTATTCAATTTTTCAGATGAAATTTGAGTCAATGGTGTAAATATTTTTCATTTATTTCAAATCTTCATAAGAACAAATTTCAATAATTTCAAAATATTCTATTATGAGGTTAAAATATAATATACTTAAATCTCAAGTTGTTTTCAAATTTTTCATCATGCTTAACATTACTATAACAATTATTTTTATTTAAAATATGTAATAATTATGACGATTTAAATACATTTATAGAAATGAGATAATGATATCCTAGATAAGAGAAAATGTGTATTTTTGAACCTGCTAATGCTTAATACTTAATGGTCTGATTTTTTCCAGAAACGTTACACAAATTCACAATACTATAAAAATGTACAGTCATGCACTGCATAGTGGCATTTCAATTAACAACCCATCATATATACAATGATGATTCCATAAGATTATAGTTAGCTGAAAAATTCCTTTGGCCTAGTGACATCATAGGCATTGTAAAGGCATAGTGCACACAAACACATTACTTATTACTTATGTGTTTGTGATGATGCCAGTGTAAACCAACCACTTTGACTTTTCCTCTTTATTTTATACTGCTTTTATTCTACTTATTAAAATAAAAAGTTAACTCTAAAACCTCCACAGACAGGTCCTTCATGGGGTATTCCAGAAGAAGGCATTGTTATCAAAGGAGATGACAGTTCTATGCATGTCATTGCCCCTGAAGACCTTCCAGAGGGACAAGATGTAGAGGTGGAAGACAGCAATATGGATGATCCTGACCCTGTGTAGGCCTAGGCTAATGTGTGTGTTTGTGTCTTGGTTTTAACAAAAAAGTTTTCAAAGAAAAAGAAAATTTAAAATTAATTAAAAATAGAAATAATGATGTAAAGAAAGGAATTTTGTATAGCTGTATAATGTGTTTTGTGTTTTAAGCTAAGTGCTACTACAAAGGAGCCAAATTGTTTTTTAAAATATTAAAAGTTTATAAAGTAAAAAAGTTACATTAAGCTAAGGTTAATTTATTATTGAAGATAAAATGTTTTAAAATTAAATTTAGTGTAGCATAAGTGTGCAGTGTTTATGCAGTCGACAGTAGTGAACAGTACCTTCCTAGGCCTTTACATTCACTCATTGCTCACTCACTGACTGATATGATTTGGCTGTGTCCCTACCCAAGTCTCATCTTAAATTGTAATTCCCATAATCCCCACATGTTGTGGGAGGGTCACAGTGGGAGGTTATTTAATCATGGAGGTGATTACCCTCCTGCTGTTCTCATGATAGTGAGTTCTCACGAGACTTTATGGTTTTATAGGGGGCTTTTCCTCCCTTTGCTCAGCATTTCTCCTTGCTGCCCCCATGTGAAGAAGGATGTGTTTACCTCCCCTTCTGCCATGATTGTAAGTTTCCTGAGGCCTCCCCATGTATGGTGAATTGTGAGTCAATTAAACCTCTTACTTTTATAAATTACACTTATTAGCAGCCTGATATCAGATTAATTGACTTATGCAAAGTATCTTCCAGTCCTGCAGGCTCCATTTATGGTAAGTACCCTATATGGATGTACCATTTTTAGTCTTTTATATTGTATTTTCTATGGTACATTTTATATATTTAGAAATATAGTTCAGATATGTTAAAATACACAAACACTGTTGGTGGGAGTGTAAATTAGTTCAACCTTTGTGGAAGGCAGTGTGGCAATTCCTCAAGGATCTAAAACTAGAAATACCATTTGACCCAGCAATTCCATTACCCAGTAATATACTGGGTATATACCCCAAGCATTATAAATCATTCTACTATAAAATCACATGCACACGTATGTTTATTGCAGCACTATTCACAATAGCAAAGACTTGGAACCAACCCAAATGCCCATCAATGATAGACTGCATAAATACATTGTGGCACATATACACCATGGAATACTATGCAGCCATAAAAAAGGATGAGTTCATGCCCTTTGCAGGGACATGGATGAGCTGGAAAACATCATTCTCAGCAAACTAACCCAAGAACAGGAAAACAAACACCGCATGTTCTCACTCATAAGTGGGAGTTGAACAATGAGAACACATGGACACAGGGAGGGAAACACCACAGACTGGGGCCTTTCAGGGAGTAGGGGGCTAGGGGATGGATAGCATTAGGATAAATGCCTAGTGTAGGGGACGGGTTGATGGGTGCAGCAAACCACCATGGCCTGTGTATACCAATGTAACAGAACTGCACATTCTGCACATGTGCCTCAGAACTTAAAATATAGTATAAAAAATGCACAAATACTATTGTATTATAATTGCCTACAATATTCCATACAGTAACATTCTGTACAAGTTTGTAGCTTAGGAGCAATATGCCATACAGCAGAGCCTAGGCTAAGCCCATCTAAATTTGTGTAAGTATACTCTGTAATGTTCATACAATGACAAAACTGCCTAACAATGCATTTCTCAGAACATACTACAATGTTAGTGATGCATGACTGCACCAGTACATACTTCACAGCAGCATTGAATATTTTATTTAACTTTATCATTCATATTTTGGCCATTTTATTCCTTTAAAATTTCTTTGATTTCAAGTGAACCTGAATTTTAAAATTTTCTTTCTTATAGACTGTGGATATATACTCATGGTGTCTTTATCCATTGATGCTGTGATAGGTTTCATAAAAATTTAGTTGAATGCTTTGAACCTCAAAGATATTTAACTTTTAAATTCAAAATTCTTGCCAATATTTTTTCAGAGTTTTCAATTTACATTTATCTTGGGTTATTACTTTGGATTTTGTAGAAAACATTACCATGGCTCCACTGGCGAGTTTTCAAAGCAAAAATAAAACCCTCTTTGGTAAGAAGAATAATTCTACTTACCTCTCAGTGTGCTCACTCAGCCCTGAGTGGTAAGAAGAATAATTCTACTTACCTCTCAGTGTGCTCACTCAGCCCTGAGTCAATGGAAACCAAGATAATGTAACCAAATCGATTTCTGATTTCTGGGCTGATAGATAGACTGATTACTTTAATGAAAAACAGAACAAGCAAGACAACCCTTTTCAATTTAAAAAAAGATTTAACCTGATAAATCAATTTATCTTTTTAAATTAAATTTATATATATATATATATATATATATTTGAGACAGTGTCTTGCTGTGTCGCCCAGGCTAGAGTGGAGTGGTGTGATCTGGGCTCACTGCAACCTCCGCCTCCCGGCTTCAATCGATTCTCCTGCCTCAGCCTCCTGTGTAGCTGGGATTACAGGGATGTGCCAGCATGCCCAGCTAATTTTTGGTATTTTTGGTAAAGATGGGGTTTCACTTTGTTAGCCAGGATAGTCTTTTTTTTTTTTCTTTTTTTTTTTTTTTTTGAGACGGAGTCTCGCTCTGTGGCCCAGGTGGGAGTGCAGTGGCGCAATCTCGGCTCACTGCAAGCTCCGCCTCCCGGGTTCACGCCATTCTCCTGCCTCAGCCTCCCGAGTAGCTGGGACTACAGGCGCCCGCCATCACGCCCGGCTAATTTTTTTGTATTTTTAGTAGAGACAGGGTTTCACCGTGTTAGCCAGGATGGTCTCGATCTCCTGACCTCGTGATCCGCCCGCCTCGGCCTCCCAAAGTGCTGGGATTACAAGCGTGAGCCACCGCGCCCGGCCTAGCCAGGATAGTCTTAATCTTCTGACCTTGTGATCCACCCACCTTGGCCTCCCAAAGTGCTGGGATTACAGGCGTGAGTCACCGCGCCCACTGGGGCCTGAATCAATTTATCAAAGAATCAAGAGCAGGTTTTGCTTAAGGCACAATCGCATATCTTCAAAATGCTAAAGAGTCAAGGTGTGCTATGAACAAAACAACATTCAAAAGGTGGTTTTAAATCTCTGAGGAAAGTAATTTATATGATACCAAATTTCAGATAAAAACAGAGCTTGTAGTCTTATGGACTGCGTCATTGGTAAATCAGCACTAAAATTTAAGTAACCATGCTGAACTTGAGTTTAACATTTAAAATATTTGTTGTATTAAATCTATTGATGCTACTCTTTTTCACTTCTATACATGTATTTTCAACATTTAAATTATTTGTATTATTAAATCTATTGATGCTACTCTTTTTCACTCCTATGCATATATTTTCCTGGTTAAAACATCCAGCGAATAGAAACTGACGCAGGCCTTATTGACACATTGCTACTTGTCTCATAAGAACCTTCCAGTACTTTTTCTTAAATGCATTAAACAACTTTTTTAAAAAAACAAAATGAGATAATACTATACATAGTTCAACAGTTGCTTTTTAATTATGTAAACAAATATACCCTGGAGAGCTTTGATCTTATTTTTTTTTTATTCCGTCTACCTTTACACTTAGAAAGTCATCCTCTTGACAGCTGATTTTTTAAAATAAATGTTTAATATAATTTTTATTAGCATTAAACTATTTAATCCATCTGGAATTTACTTAGCTATTTCATATGGAATAATTTACATTTATTGTTTTCTAATAGCTTATTATTCTCACTATTATTAAAATAAGTCATTAAATTAAAATTATTCTGTAATACATATTAAATTCACCATTAAACATGATGGAAATGTAAAACACATTATTTTACAAGGGAATATCTTGGCCTTCAGTCTCTTTATTTAACGTTTAAATTTGAAGTAATTTTAGACTTATAGAAAAGTTGCAAATTATTAGAGAAAGTGTCCATATAATCTCACTTAATTTTTGCAAATGTTAACATCTTAAATAACATTTGCTAAACTCTATTAAGCTAAACAGAAAGCTTAATTCCAATTCCCTTTTACCCATTAATGTCCTCTCTGTTTCAGGATCCTGTCTTGGGATCCCACATTGTATTGAATTGTTATTTCTCTTTAGTCTTTTGAAATTTATAACTGACTCTCAGTCTATCTCTTTGTTTTTTTTTTTTTTTGGGAGTCTGACACTTTTAAAGGGCTTAGATCAGCCATTTTGATGAATTTCTCCTAATTTGGGTTCATTTGATACTCTATTATGAATGATTTGAGGTTATGTAAAGATTACCATAGAAACTATGCTGTGCTTTTTTTTTTTTTTTTTTTAGACGGAGTCTCACTCTTGCTCAGGCTGGAGTGCAGTGGCGCAATCTCGGCTCACTGCAAGCTCCGCCTCCCGGGTTCAAGCCATTCTCCTTCCTCAGCCTCTTGAGTAGCTGGGACTACAGGTGCCCGCCACCATGCCTGGCTAATTTTTGTATTTTTAGTAGAGACTGGGTTTCACCTTGTTAGCCAGGATGGTCTCGATCTCCTGACCTCGTGATCCACCTGCCTTGGCCTCCCAAAGTGCTGGGATTACAAGGGTAAGCCACCGCACCTGGCCTATGCTTTTTTTATTAATACATTATTTGATATTGTTAGTAGTACCAGTATATCTTATTGTTGGTGACAGTGACTTTCAGAGCATAGTTAAGGTGGTATCTGCTGGATTTCTCCACTGTAAATATACTATATATCCCTTTGTTGTGGTTATTTACAACATTATTGACTTGTGGACATGTATTTTTGAAGTTACAATCCAATATTACCATTATTTCTTGCTCAAATAGTTTCATCTTTGGCCAATAAGAGCTCTTTCCTGTTGGCTCATGTCTTCTTTCAACAGGCTCCCATCTTTTCCTAAGCCAAGCATGTTCATATTCTGATCCCACAAGATATTCCAGGACAATGTTGTATTTTCCCCGCTCCAACCATGAAATCAACCATTTCTCTAAAAAGCCCTGTTTCTTTTACTGAAGAATGATCTTAAATTTATACTCTAGGCATTCTCATTGCTATTAGGGCATCATTGCTTTACGGTGTCTTTCAGTGGACAGGGCTAGGAAATATATATATGTAAATTAAACCTAAGCATATATATATAGAAACATATCTGTATTTCTGCCATGAGTTTATACTGAATCTAGCACAACAAAGTTCATTCTGGGTCAATTTTAGTCTTCGTACTTATTTTTAAGTTATTTCACTAACAATGGGAAACCTGGCTTTTATTATCTACTATATATTTAATTGCTTATTTGTTATCTACAATATATTTAGTAGCTTCAGTGCTAGTATACATGAAAAGTAGTTTCAAAGTTGCTAAAAAATAACTCCACACAAAGCACATTCACCAACCATAGTGCATCACATATGTAGAGTTCTTTTATTCCCTACCCTTAGAACATCCAGTCAGGATATTGTTTTCCAATTACTTAGGTTATTTCTAGTCTTCATCCATCCCCTTCGTTGTAGTTATGTTATTCATTTTCTTAATTCAGTTTGATTTATTTGTTAGTGTTTTTATTCTACTTTGGGTTTTCTCTACGTCCTGGCTGCTTTTAATTATTTACTTACTGTTTTTTGGAGGTTAGGTAAGTGAAATATTATTATGGTCCAAAGAGCTGGAGTTCTTGCTACTTAAAAATGTTTTATTTTAAAGAAGTAGAATAAAATTTTTGCCACATATCAAATATACTCTGAAAAGCATTCCAGAAAAAAAGTTATATGGCATATAGACTTGCAGTAAGATGCAATAAAGTTAAAAAAAGTAGCACTGCTAACATTGTTGGTGATCACACTACCACTACACAGCTTTGTTTTTTTAAGCACTTTTATTTATGCTACTTTATAGCTAATCTAAAAACTAAGACCAAAATCAGTAGGAGAACATAATGTGTGTCACTAACATTTTAAACATTTCTGGAACACTTCATCCTTTTCTCACAATATTAAGAGTGAAGAAGAAAACAAATATAAAAATGGTACAAAACTATAATGCGGTTAAAAGCAAAACCGAAAGAAATGCACTTGTGTTAAGATTTCTGCTTTGAATTTCAGCAGTCACTATTGGTATATTTTGAGCAATAAATATAATTTTTTTCTCAATGTTGATATGCCCTTAATATATTTCCCTTTAAGTAAGTTGAAAATTTGACTGGTTTATTCAAGTGGCAGCATAATATCTTGGGAAAATAAGAAACAGGTTGAAAAAACATTAATAAAACTTTAAAAATTTTCATTTATGATGTCAACATACAACTCCAGTCCTAAGGTCCACATGTATTACAAAAATAAATATGCACTTAAGTCATACTCTTTCCATTAATGTTGAGCACACAAAGAATAGTTACACACTCTATATTTAATTATAATACAAAAGTATGACTTCCATCTGCATGTAGCAGAATGAATGGATTTAGGTGCACACAAATTTACATCTGGTATTCAAATACTAGAAGGGAGATTCTTTTTTTAACCACATCGGGCATCATGTAATTCCTCAATGTAAACTCAGTATAGTAGTGTATTTATTAAAGTTTAGAATAATTTTTAATATTTTCAGTTTCTCACATCTTTGTTTAAGTTCTGAGTCATAAGACTCCTTCTGTGTCACATAGACTTCTTACTTTATTTTGGAAATGCACATGTGAGGTTTCTTTTTACTGGAAAGTATACCTTGCATGGTTTTATTTAGCACTTAAATCTTATTTCATTTCTATGCAAGCACCTATTAACACTTTTAAGAACAGTATTTTCTCAATCTTTTCTGCCATCATTTTACTTTTGGAAAAGTTGCACTGTATTCCATAGTGGTAAAGTGCTCCTGTTTCTCTTATTTGGCCTTTAATTATTTAATTTAATGATATGGTAATTGGATATGGATGAAAAGGAATTATTTAAATCCTTGCAGTTTGGGAAGATTGTATGCAAGCTCAAGTTCCCTCAGAATTTATTGTTACTTTATTATTACAAGGATCCCTGACTGACTGAGGAAGCACAAGAAACCAGCTCAAGAGACGCATTTTCAGGCTTCACAGAGAAAACAACCATATCTCAACTATATTCAAAATACAATTGCTCTTTTAGTGATAGTCTGGCCACTTTTACACCCTCTCAGTATTGCTCACCTATTGCACTATCATGCGATTCTCAGTATTGGCCTTACATTGGAATCACCTGGGGAGATTTAAAAGTACAAATGGCTCAGTCGCACCCCAGACATTCTGGTACAATGGATCTAGGATTCATCCTGGGCATTGAGATTTTTAAGATTCCCCTAAGTGATTCTAAGTTGCAGTAAAGTTTGATAACCACTACCCTAGTAACTTCATCATGCCTCTCATTCTCCTTATCATTTTTTAAACCTTTTATCTTCAACATTATTTTTAAATAATTTCCACTTTTATTACATATTAAAGGGTATATGTGCAGGTTTGTTACATGAGTATATTGTGTACAGCTGAGGTTTGAGGTACAATTGATCCTGTCACGCAGATAGTAAGCACAGTCCCCAATAGGTGGTTTTTCAGCCCATGCCCCTCTTGCCCCTTCTCCATCTAGTAGTACTCAGTGTGTATTGTTCCCATCTTTATGTCCATGTATATTCCACTTATAAGTGAAAACATGTGGTATTTGGTTTTCTGCTCCTACATTTATTTGCTAAGGATAATGGCCTCCAGCTCCATCAATGTTGCTGTAAAGGACACAGTTGCATTTTTTTCACGACTGCATAGTATTTCATGGTGTATGTGTACTACAGTTTCTTTATCCATTTCACCATTGATGGTCACATAGATTAATTCCATGTCTTTTCTATTGTGAATAGTACATCAATGAATATACGAGTGCCTGTGTCTTTTTGGTAGAATGACTTGTCTTCTTTTGGCTTTACAGCCAGTAATGGAATTGCTTGGTTGAATGGTAGTTCTGTTTTAAGTTCTTTAGTAAATCTCCAAATTGCTTTCAATAGTGGCTAGTTTGCATTCGAGTTGCAAACTAGTTGTGTGCTTGTACACGCCAACAGTGTATAAGCATTCCTTTTTCTCCCCAGCCTTGCCAGCATCTGTTATTTTCTGACCTTTTAATACTCACCATTCTGGCTCATGTAATTTCTCTGATGATTAGAGATGTTGAGCATGTTTTCATATGTTTGTTGGCCACGTATCCATCTTCTTTTGAGAAGTGTTTGTTTATGTACTTTGGCCATTTTTAAATTGGAGTGTTTGCTTTTGCTTGTTGATTTAAGCTCTGATATGGTTTGGCTCTGTGTCCCCACCCAAATCTCATCTCGAATTGTAATCCCCACATGTCAAGGGAGGAAGGTGATTGGATCAGGAGAGTGGTTTCCCCCATGCTGTTCTTGTGATAGTGAGTTCTCATGAGAACTGATGGTTGTATAAGTGTTTGACAGTTCCTCCTTCACACAATTTCTCTCCTGCCATCTTGTGAAGAAAGTGCCTGCTTCTGCTTCTGCCATTATTGTAAGTTTCCTGAGGCTTCCGTACTATGAGGAACTGTGAATCATTTAAATCTCTTTCCTTTATAAATTATCCAGTTTCAGATATTTCTTTATAACAGTGTGAAAATGGACAAATAAAAGCTTCTTGTGGATTTTGAATATTAGACCTCTGTCAGATGCATAGTTTGCAAATATTCTCCTCCATTTTCTAGGCTGTCTGTTTACTCTGTTGGTAATTTCTTATGCTATACAGAAGCTCTTTAGTTTAATTAAGTCCCACTTATCAATATTTGTTTTTGTTGCATTGCTTCTGGGGACTTAGCAATAAATTATTTGCCAAAGCTGATATAGAGAGGTTTGTTTCCTAGGTTTTCTTCTAAAAATTTTACTCTTTGAGGTCTTACATTTTACCTTTAATTCATCTTGAGTTAATTTCCATGTATGGTGAAAAGCAAGGCATCAGTTTCATTCTCCTACATATGGCTAGCCAGTTGTCACACCACCATTTATTGAATAGGGGGTCCTTTTGCCAATGCTTATTGTCATTGATTTTGTTGAAGATCAGATGGCTGTAGGTATGTGAGTTTATTTCTAGGCTTTCTATTCTATTCCGTTGGTCTATGTGTCTATTTTTGTACTAGTATCATACTGTTTTGATTACTGTAGCCTCATAGTATAGTTTGAAGTTAGGTAATGCAATGCCTCCTGTTTTGTTCTTTTTGCTTGGGATTGCTTTGGCTATTTGGGCTGTTTTCTGGTTCCATATAAATTTTAGGATAGTTTTCTCTAGTTCTGTGAAAAATGACACTGGCAGTTTGATAGGAATAGAGTTGAATCTGTAGATTGCTTTAGGCAGTATGGCCATTTTAATAATACGGATTTTTTCCATTTATAAGCATGGAATACTTTTCCATTTGTTTGTGTCATTTATGATTTCTTTAAGGAGCGTTTTGTAGTTCTCCATGTAGAGATATTTCCCTTCCTTGGTTAGATATATTCCTAGGTATTTTACTATTTTTGTGGCTATTGTAAATGGGATTGCATTCTTGATTCAGCTCTAAGCTTGGACACTATTGGTGTATAAAAATGCTACTGATTTTTGTATATTGATTTTGTATCTTGAAACTTTAGTGAAATAGTTTATCAGTTCCAGGGGCCTTTTGGCAGAGTCTTTTCAGATTTTCTAGGTGTAGAATCATATCATCAGTGAGCTTGACTTCTTTTTATATTTGAATGTCTTTTATTTCATTTTCTTGCCTGCTTTCTCTGGCTAGCACTTCCAGTACTATGTTGAATACAAGTGGTGAAAGTGAGCATCCTTATCTTGTTCCAGTTCTCAAGGAGAACGTTCCAGCTTTTGCTCATTCATCTATATGTTTTCCATAGATGGCTCTTGTTATTTTGAAGTATGCTTGTTTGATAGCCAGTCTGTTGAGAGTTTTTATCATGAAAGCATGTCGGATTATATCAAAGGTGTTTTTCTCTACATCTATTGTGATGACCATATGGTCTTTTTTTAAATCTGTTTATGTGGGGAATCCCATTTATTAATTTGGGCATGTTGAAGCAGTCCTACACCCCAGGATTAAAGCCTGCTTGATTGTGGCGAATTAACTTTTTGATGTGCTGCTGAATTTGGTTTGCTAATATTTTGTCAAGGATTTTTATATCTATGTTTATCAGGGATATTGGCTTGAAGTTTCCTTTTTTCATTGTATTTTTGCCAGATTTTGGTACCAGGGTGATGTTGGCTTCATAGAGTAATTTAGGGAGGAGCCCCTACTCCCTTATTTTTTGGAATAGTTTCAATAGGATTCGTATTAGTTTTTCTTTGTACATGTGGTGAAATTCAGCTGTGAATTCATATGGACCAGGGTTGCCTTTGGTTGGTATTGTTTTTTTTTTCAATTACTGATTTAATTTCTGAACTTGTTATTGGTCTGTTCAGGTTTTCACTTTTCTCCTGGTTCAATCTTAAGAAGTCCTTTGTTTCCAGGAATACACTGATTTCCTCTAGAGTTTCTAATTTGTGTAAGTAGAGGTGTTAATACCAGTCTCTGAGATTTTTTTTTATTTCTGTGGGAATGGTTGTGATGTCATGTTTGTTATTTCTGATTGTGCTTATTTGAATGTTTTCTTTTATTTTTCTTTGTTAATCTAGCTAGTGATCTATCAGTGTTGTTAATTTTTTGAAGAAGCAAATCTTGGTTTCATTGTATGAACTGTTGGGTCTTGATTTTGTTCAGTTCTTTGATTTTAGTTATTTCTTTCCTTCTATCTATAGATTTGGGGTTGGGCTGCTCTTTTTTTTTTCTAGTTCCTCTAGATGCGATGAAGGCATTAATTCTTATAAACTTTCCACTTAACACAGTTTTAATTTTATCTCAAAGATTTTGTTAATTTGTGTTGCTGTTTTTGAATAATGTTTTGCTTTTTCTCTTATTTTGAATTCACTGAGACTTGTTTTATGGCCAAGCATGTGGTTGATCTTAGAATACATTTCATGTGCAGATGAGAAGACTATATTAGGTTGGTGCAAAGGTAATTGCGGCTTTTGCCATTGAAAGTAATGGGAAAAACCACATTTGCTTTTGCATAAATCTAATATAGTCTGTGGCTGTTGGGTGGAGGATTATGTAGATGTCTATCAGGTCAAATTAATCAAGTTTTGAGTTTAAGTCCAGAATTTCTTTGTTAATTTTCTGCCTCAATAATCTAATGCTGTCATTGGGGTGTTGACATCCCCCACTATTAACATGTGTCTGTCTAAGTCTTTGTATAGTCAAGAACTTGCTTTATAAATCTGGGTGTTCTAGTGTTGGGTGTGTATATATTTAGGATAGTTAAATCTTCTTGTTGAATTCAACCCTTTATCATTATATAATGCCCTTCTTTGTCCTTCCCGATTGTTGTTGGTTTAAAGTCTGTTTTACCTGATGTAAGAATGACTCCTGCTCTTCTCTGTTTCCCATTCATAGGACAGATTATTCTTCATCTCTTTACTTTGAGCCTGCGAGTGTCTTTACATGTGAGATATTTACATGTGAGATATGCCTTTTGAAGTCAGCAGAGAGATGTGTGTTTTTTTTGTTTCGTTTTGTTTTTTTCTGGCTTACCACTTTATGCCTTTTAAGTGAAGTGGTTAGACCAGTTGCATTCAGGGTTAGTATTGATATATGAGATTTTGATCCTCTTTGTGTTGTTGGCTGTTTGTTTTGTAAACTTAATTGTGTAATTGCTTTATACTGTCTGAAGACTATATGTTTGAGTGTGTTTCTGTTGTTGCAGGTTTCGATCTTTCGTTTCCACGTTTAGCACTCCCTTAAGGACCTCTTGTAAGGCTGATCTGGTGTCAGTGAATTCCTTTAGTGCTTGCTTATCGGAGAAATATTTTACTTCTCATTTGCTTATGAAGCTTAGTTTGGTGGGATATGAGATTCTTGGTTGGAATTTCTTTTCTTTAAAAATGCTGAAAATAGGCCAGGCGTAGTGGCTCACACCTGTAATCCCAGCACTTTGGGAGGCAGAGGCGGGCGGATCACGAGGTCAGGAGACCGAGACCATCCTAACACGGTGAAACCCCGTCTCTACTAAAAATACAAAAAATCAGCCAGGTGAGGTGGCATGTGCCTGTAGTCTCAGTTACTCAAGAGGCTAAGGCAGGAGAATCGCTTCAACCCGGGAGGCGGAGGTTCCAGTGAGCAGAGATCGCACCACTGCACTCCAACCTGGGCGACAGAGCGAGACTCTGTCTCAAAAACAAACAAACAAAAAATGCTGGAAATAGATCCCCAATCTCTTCTGATTCTCAAGGTTACTGCTGAGAGGTCTGCCGCTAGCCTGATGGGGTTTCATTTGTAGGTAATCTTACCTTTGTTTCTAGCTGCCTTTAAGATTTTTTCCTCTGTGTTGAACTTGGCAAATATGACGACTATGCCTTGGGGATGGACACATTATGTAGTATCTCACAGGGGTTCTCTGTATCTCTTGATTTTGTATGTCCTCTTCTCTAACAAAATTGGGGAAAGTTTCATGGACTATATCCTCAACTATATTTTCCAAGTTGCTTGTTCTCTCTCTTTCTTTCAGGAATGCCAATAATTTGCATATTTCATCTCTTTACACAATCCCACATTTCTCGAAGCTTTTGCTTATTTTTAAAAATTATTTTTTATTTTTATCTTACTGAGCTGGTTTAAAGAACTGGTATTCGAGGTTTGAGATTTTTTGCCTTAGCTTGATCTATCCTGCTGTTAATGCTTTTAATTGCATTATGAAATTCTTGAAGTAAATTCTTCAGTTCCAGAAATTCAGTTCGGTTCTTTCTCAAAATGGCTATTTCATCTTTCAGGTCCTGGATCACTTTACTGTTTTTGTTTGTTTATTTGTTTGTTTGTTTTGCATTTCTTGGTTTGCATTTCAACTTTCTCCTGGATCTCAGTGAGCTTCCTTGCCCTCTAGACTCTGAAGTGTATGTCTATTATTTCAGTCATCTCAATCTGGTTAAGAACCATTTCTGGGGAATTAGTGTGTTGTTTGGAGATAAGGAGACACACTGGCTTTTTGAATTGCCAGAGTTCTTGCACTGATTATTTCCCATACATGAGGGCTGGTATTCCTTTAACTGTGATGTAAGTTGAATATAGTCAATTGGATTCTTTTCTGGGTGTTTTCAGTGGGCCAACACTCTGCTGAATCTTTATTTGTGGCTGGAATTTTGCCTTAGTTTTCACAGGTGCTGTATACTGGTAAAATATTTTGGTGTTGTATTTTGGACTGCGATACAGTTGGTAGCGTTTGAGATTTGTGGCCTGCAGATAGGCTGTTAGTCGCATGGTTCTGTTGTATTTTGGCAAGTTCACAGTCGTGTTCTGTGTCGTGGGGAGAAAGAAATAACCCTTCACTTGGTCCACTCCTGAGCATTGGAAGAACACCCTCTAGTCACTGGCTCTACATCCATGTTTCTTTTGTTGGTTGTTCTGGTCTGCAGGGCTCCCTCAGTCAGGGGCCACAGTTGGTAGTCATTTATACCCTTCTGGCCTGGCCCTGCAAAGGGAGGAATGCTTCGCTCCCTTGCAGGCCCATGAACGTGGGCACCTCACCCCTCTCAGTGTTCTGAGAGTGAGGGCTCTCCCCTTGCTTGGGCGCCACCCGAGCCAGTGTGTTGTAACAGGCTAGGAGCAGCAGAGGTGGATGGAGTCAGCTAATCTAGCGACACTCCTGCCCACAAAGTTCCGGCGGAATCAGGTCCGCTGTGCTGAAAGCTCCAGCAAGTGTAATCTGCTGGGTCATGTACGGCGGAGGATGGGTGGAGTCGCCTGGCTCTGCCATTCGGGTGCTTCCTGGGGGAACAAGGACCGGCACTGGCAGAAGTGAGACCATTGTGCTGGAAGCTGGCTCAAGCTGGTGAGGCAGACTGGAGCAATCTTACTGCTCCTGGACATCATGACTGTGGCCTCTATTGGGGCTATGGCAGCTGGTGCCTGGCTGCACAGTGTCCAAGGCCCGTGTAGGTCCCTGTGGTCTTGAGTGTTGCCTCCGCAAAAACTCCGACTGCTCTCTATGTCAGTCTAGAGGCCCCTGGAGCTAGGGAGATTCTCCTGTTCCCAGGCATGCACAGCTCCCTTTGGGAAGTGTGGATCCCCTGGGGGCTCTCACTTAGCATTTCCCCTATGTGGAGCTGGCCAATCCCCGATGGGTTGCAGCCCAACTTTGCATTTCCCTGTTGTCTGTGTCCCCTCACTCCCTTGATGGGTCTCGAAATGAAATGGTTTCTTAGATGGTCGGCTGGCAGGGTCAATGTTTACTATTTCATTTCTTCTCCCTGAGAGCCACGCACACTAGCTGCTTCTATAATAATCCACCATCTTGATTCTCCGCCTCATTTTTTTCACACTGAATCTCACTCTTACTCAATTCCTCAGCTTCAATTTGTCTGCTACAACTTTTTTTATACTAACTTCCCTTTGTGTGGTTTTGTGTTTTCACAACTAAAGCTCTCAGTGAGGAAAAATGTATGATCACAGCCAATCAGCTACAGCCAAGGTTTTAGGGGTAAAAATCTGAAAGAAGAAGCTGAGGCACAAAATATGATTTTAAAGAGTTTACTTAAGCCAAGTAACGTTAGGACAGCTGCTTGGGGAACACTTCCAAGTTACCTTGAGAAGTGCTCTGGAGAACAAAAGAGAGACTGGAGCTTTTAAAGAAAAAAGGACAAATCAGGAGAGGGGGGATTACAAACGTTGTTTTTCAGGAATTCTCATTGGTTTAAAGATCTATAACACTGATTAATAATTGGCTAGACGTTGTTGAACCACAGCGTGTAAGTTATGATGCCCAGCATATGACATCATTAGGTTAATTTATGAGTATTGTGGCAATATTCAGTCTAAAGTCCATGCAGCAGGTGGCTTCAAGAGGATGATTACTCAGCTCAAGAGGGTTAGTGGGATGTGACTCCTACCTCATTCCTATGCCTCTCTGGGCCTGATAATTTAAAGGGGGCTGCATTCCTCAGATAAAAAGTTTCTTTTCTTTCTCAGGGGACAGAACAAAAAGCACATTAATTTATGCTCAAAGAATAGCTCGTGGTTGCTTTTGTCAGAAAATGGCTGTGGATATGGTAGGCACTCTGAGTCAATAGACTCTTCCACACAGCCAATATTTACTCACTTGATATGTAAAGAGGTCTCTCTAATGACAATGATAGGTATAACAATTTTTGAATGCTTCATATGAATTCAGGTGCGTATTATAATAGAGGAAAGTAACAGTTAAATGTTGAAAGCATTTTCTTATTTGAATCTACTTTGAGATAGTTATAAAGTAAGATTTTATGCCCACATCTGTTAGCATATAAGAAAGAATATTTTCTTTGTTATTTTTATGAAATTGGCTTAATATTAACATAGCAACAATGTATAATTCTTGTTTTTAATATAATCACCATTGCGCTTCAGGGGAATCACTGTGATTATTGCAGGATTCACAGAGATTCCTTTCTTTATTTATCCCAGGGCTTTTACTTGTAAACTTATTTAATACAAAATATACTGCATTGGAGATGGTTCCACAAAGCTCTATTTAATGTTGATTCTGCAATTCTACCATGATTTGGCCAACTTAGAAATGAATCAAAGAAAATCTTCTGAAGCTTATCACTTTTCAAATCAAATGGATGAACTGTATACATGTTAGAAAAATGTCTGCTACTTTTTCTGTGGTTTAGTCTACTGGTTCTGAGAAGTCCTAGGGACCATTTGTGTCACCATACGATTATCCCTTTCTTCAAGGTGAAATGTACAAAGAACTCAAATCAACTACATTATTTTAAAAGAGAAGCAACAGAGGAAATAAATGTTCAGTTTCACTATATTGCATCATTTCACATGGCTATTTAGGGGAAGAGGAACAAAACGTAATATAGTCCCTTTTATAAAATTGTATTATAAACTACAACTATATATGTAAATATATATTGAAAACATGTGATTTATTTTACTTCTATGATTTTGAGACCTGTTGTTGTTACATTTCTCTTCTAAACTGTTTTGTTGCTTTTATCATGTGAATGTTATTTAGTATGAGTCCAGAGTAACTATTTAGTTCTGATCAATATACTATTTGTCTTTTGTTTGCAGGTCAACAAATATTTGGTTCTATTTCAGAATGCTTTTTCAGGGTTTAGTAAATACAGTTCTATGGCTATGATATAAAGCAAATGAAAATACATTGGTAACACAAGATTAACAAAAAATAGAATGCCATACTCTACTTATCCATAATACTATGGTCAGGAGGCTGCTTATATCTCAGATGAAGAAAGTGATGATGAACTGTACATCAACTCTTTACATTACCTTTTCCATCCTTTATACAGTGTTAAGACAATGACAAACACTAATTTGACAATACAGTGTTCCAAAAGATACTGCAAATATTACATATATGCACATTACATATTTATAATTATATATTCATTTTCTCATTCCCAAAATATTTCTTGAGCATCTACTATGTTCTAGTAACCACATTCCAGGAATCAGTTTATCTGAGATAACAAAACAAATGAGGTCTGTGTCTTCCCAGAGCTTATATTCCTGAGGGGAAATCAGGCAGTAAATGAATTAAAAATACATTAACAAAACAATTGAAAGTATAAATTTCTCTGAAGTAGATTAAAAAATGGCGAAGAAATTTGGGGAAGCCAGATAGAATAGTGAAAGGACATCTTAAGAAGTGATACATGAGCTGCACTGAAGGGAAACAAGGAACTAATTAATTATACATAGAATTCTGGGAAGAACATTTATAAAAGAAGGGATAACAAGAGCAAAAATGGAGAGATGGAAATAGCTGGGATGTCCACAAAACGGAAAGTAGATCAATGTAGTTGGAAAATAGGAAGCCAGTAGAAGCATGTTTAAATTGTTGTTGGAGTCAGAGTCAAGAGCCAGAGCCTACAGGGCCTTATAAGTGATGTTAGGAGTTTGTACTGATGCAATACAGTGCACCATGGAATGATTTTAAGTGGAAGAAACCTGGTACAATTTATTCAAAAAGCTTCCTTATTATACCTCTGGAAATAATTTTATTATTAAATTAGTAAAAACATAAATAAGTAAACAGCTAGTTAGTAGGTGGAGCAAGATTTCCTTGATATCTATTCTCCCTTTCTTCCTTTGAATAATAGAATGCTTGAGTTTAGTTGAACAAACATTTGTCCAGCTAGAGATTATATTTCTCAAACTTTCTTGCAAGTAGGTATGGGAAATTGTGTGTGTAATTCCTGGATCACACAGCTTAAAAAGGAAATTGTGCTCCATCTTCTTACTTTCTCCTTAATGATAGAAACACAGAGATTTTGTAATAATGGCCAACTTCAACCATACAGACAAGGAAAACCTACTCTGGAATGGTGGAGGGAAATGAATCTGATGCTTGGATGACTTCATGGATTAGAACTGCCTATTTGCCCTGGACCTCTTCCCTACCTGTGGATTTTCACATGCAAGAGATATAACATTTTATTGTTTTACTTGAACCACTACTATTTTGGGTCTCTGTGACACCAGCTTAGTCTATACTTATAAATGTAACCCAAAATAACTGTTCTGAGAAATTAAAATAAAAACAGTTACTAATAAGGGACTTTGCTTAACTTTCACAGTATAAATACAGCTTACCACTTCAGTCCTCATTTACTAAGGGGATAGATGATTATTTAATAGGATTGCACTTTTAATTGAGGTTATCTATTCAATGAAACAACTGAACTTTCAGGTAGGAACTAGAGTTAATATAGTAGGTGGCAGCCTATTCCTAGGATCTCTATTTAGGGGTGCATAATAGTATGTTAATGCATTAATCTGAGCTTTCCCTAATTCTGTTTCCCAAGCCTAATATTTCACAACAGAGGTTTTCGTGTGTTTGTGTTTTTTTTTTTTTTTTTTTTTTGGAACTGTCACTCTCCAGTGGCTTCTTCTAAATTCAAAACGGACAATCTGCCTCAGGCTTCCTAGAAACCCACTGTATCATTTGGCCTAAATAACTCCAGTTTGATTTTATTTTTTTCCACACAGAATAGTGCTATAAGGCAATAAAAATTGCTTGGGGTCAAAAACAACACACTTAAAATAACTGGAAAACATGTGGAACATACAGAGGGGTCAATGTGCACCACAGGATCGTGGCCAGTTACATGTATTTAAATCATGTAAGGAAAAACTGTCATATTTGAATTCCAATGAGAAGCAGGGAGTGACATTATTACTAAAAACAAATCTATTATTAAGCGACTTATCTATTTTAAGCCTGGAAGAATTTCATTTTAAATTCAGATAACCATGTGAGGAACAAAATTGTGTAGTGTTTATAGAAATTCCATTGCCATATTGATATTTATTCTTTTCATTCCTTTGACAGTGTATGCTTAAATCAGATTTCATCAAAAGTATAGAAGCTTCAAAGTTTCACACCTATCTAAGGCTCTGCAACATTCATATAAAATGCATATAGGGGACTAATTGGCAGGGAAGAGAGCCGAGAGCTTGGGTGGCATTACCTTCCATGAGGAGCAGATGGCTACCCACCTGGGGAGCTGTAATATGCACTTAATTGAAAGGAAGTCAGAGTCACTCAGCAGAGATCACATTTAGAGTAAGCCATACTCATGATTTCATAGTCACTATTGTTTTACTTCTGATGTTCATTATCTTTTTTAGCTTTAAGTGTATAAATATTACATGAGAAGGCAATGATATTGCATTATTATTGCATAAGAATGCAATAGCATTGCAAAAGACTGAAAGATTTTTCATATTTTCATCTCTAGAGGATTCTGTAAAAATTCCAAAAGTCTTTTAAGAAATTAAAATAGCCAAACTGTGTGAAACATTAAATTATACACAACAGACACTTAAATACAATACTTATGAAGAAATGAATGTTCTGATTAACTGGTTTTTTGATGAATTGAATGATTATCAATCATGTCCTGATGGGAAAGGCACTGTGCCCAAATATTATTAAGCAAAAAGCAGGAGCTCAAAAAGCATAAGATTTAGTTAAGATAAATGAAAAATCATTTTTGTTTTAATTCTCACTATTAAACAATTATTTTCTAAAATCTAAGGGAAGAATTCCTTGTCTAAGTGGAGAACTTGATTATCTGCATCATTATTAAGACTTTTCAGTGCCTCTTGGTAACCATTTTGAGGACTAATCCTCATTTGTACTGTTGGAATTCAGTTCAGTAAACACTTTGAGCCATTCCAGGTCAGGCAGGATGCCCAGCATAGAGGCTTCTGAGATGATTGGACAATTTCTGTCCTCTAGGAGCTCACAGGCTTTTGAGTCACAATCAGAGCGTCCTGATAGAAACTTTTATGCAAAGTCCTCTCCAGCATGGGTTTGATTCCTGTTATTATCTCGGCCATTCTCCAGCTTAAAATTCTTCAAGAGTACCTCTTGCATTTCTAATAAAAGCCAAACCCTCTAGAATAATGCAATGATCAGATATTTCGTAACTGTTCTCAGGTGTATAAAAGAAAACTGGTCTTTGAGTGGTGACTGAGAGTTGATGTGAAGAAGAGTCAAGGATAAGAAGTTCTCAAAATAGGCCCAAACAAGGTATTGTTAGATATCCCCACTACAGCAATCTTGGCAGTGGAGGCAGTTTCATACTGTCAGTTTTGCTGTAATGCTGCATATACACTCCTGAAAGTTATCATGCTATGCAAAACTGTGCAGCAAAAACCAGACACGCAACACAAAAACTTCATCAGTCATACATTAAAAAGATAAGAACTTAATAAATATGCACAGTTTTATATATATTAAATGGTTTATTAATACATAAATTCTACAATAAAATACAATTTTAAGAAAGACCTGAAATTTTCTTATTTCAAAATTAAGCAATATAAGAATAGCAACTTTAAGTTACTGTGAGATGGTAGAAGGTGGATTCTCAGAATCAGATGAAATTTGTAACGCCAGATGTGGCTCACAGCGCACATAGTGAACTGAGGTAGCTGGGGGATGTTTGAGATGGGTGACGTCTGAATTTTCATATTCTTATGCAGATGGGTTCAGCTGGGTGCAGTTTTTTGAGTTCTCCTAGTGTTTCCGGCAGAGGAATTCCCACAGAAGCAAATGTGAAATTTGCATTATGCTTAAATTGTTCCCAAATATCTCAATTACACTGAAACAAATTCATGTTCTCAAAGCAAGCATTGTAGCAGAACTGACTATTTTGTGATTTCAGGTATCTGAACAATGCAGTGAGCCACCTGCTCATGAATTTATAACATTTATTTCATAATTAGGAATGGAAGGCTGAAGATGCTAAGGCTGGCCTAGAAGAATACTTGAAATTCTTTCATATAAAGGGCAATAAGTCAATTAATGCAAAAGTGCCCCAATGGATGTCAGTACTTTGTGAAATAGGAATAGGAAACAGGAGGGCGCAGATCCCTGAAGCAGGAGATGGCAGAGCATAGCCATCAGGTGGGTGTGGCAGCAGAAGAGGAACTTGAGATGAAGAGCAGAACATGTCCTGTCATCCTAATTGTGCGAAGATTTGTTTCTGCTTATTTTCAACCAAGTGGAAATAAAAATAACCTGCTCTCAGAGGTATTTTTGTCATCAGCAGCTGCATATAAATGCAGCTCTGTTTTGCATGATTATAAAAATTTAGTGTGTTGTAAGATACACATCATTACAAAGAGGTCCTCTTCCCCTACCCCACAAGGATACATTAATTGAGGTGTGCAGGACTGAGTCTGCAAAACTGCTTAAAAACATTCCCCACAGTTGCAGCCAGGAAAACATGACCTTGGTTGTCAAGAAGGAGGGGAGAATCCAGGATCTGTAACAACATATTTTAAGCTGCTTAATCCCTTCACATATAGCTATAACACCTGGCTCAATGTGATGATATGTTTCCTTTAAATACTTATCTGAATCATATTCTTTTGGAAATATATTTGAAACATGAACAGAAACCAGGGAAATTAATATTATGAGGGATAGGATGGAGTTGTATAGATTTTTTTAAAAGGAAATAAAGCAGATAAATGGCCTAAAATCATGTAAACTGGCTTTAATGTAACTACCAGATCATGTGAAGGTAAGTACAACATACACAGAAATATCATCAAATTAGCTTATTTAAAGTTTAATTTCTTAATATACTGAACAAATACTTTTCCTTGATATCACCGTGAGCTTAGTAATTAGGCAAGATTTTTAAAAGTATCATTTAAAATCTTTACTCACTGATTTTTTAAAGAAATTACTTCTTATATCCTAAAATATAAATTGTATGTCACTACTATATACATTATGACAGATGGTAACACCAAAAAAATTAATAAGAATGTCTTTTTTTAAAAAAATTGACTTTCTACACATATTCTTTTACCCTACTTTTTCCTGATCTATTTAATATCTCTCTCTTAAAATAGCTTCTATTTTGCTAGGAAGATCTGTTGTGCATACTTCCCATAGAAATATTTCCTAAGTTATGCTAAACCTTGAATGTAGCTATATGTA
The DNA here is from genome assembly GCF_000001405.40 of Homo sapiens. Classification (NCBI taxonomy): domain Eukaryota; kingdom Metazoa; phylum Chordata; class Mammalia; order Primates; family Hominidae; genus Homo; species Homo sapiens. The sequence goes on from NC_000006.12 coordinate 92,117,262, forward strand.
CCACAGGGAAGTGAAGCAGTAGTATATTACGAGGGAACTAACATTTGCTCCAGCATTTGTGATGTAAGACTTTTTGGGATCAAAATGGGATCCACAGGCACAAGATTCCGTCAAGGAAATAAAAGTGGGTTGTTTAGTCAATATTACGTATCATTTCAGGCACAGAAAAAAAATGGTGTTTCATGCACAACGGATTTTTTATTAATACTTTCTAAGATCTATAAAAGCAAATAAATGTAGCAATGATGTGAAATGAAAACCAACTACCCATTTAAGTCATGCTCACACCACATAGCTCGTAGTAGTTACGATGAAAGAGCAAACCTACTCTGAGTTTTTGTAAAGCAGCCTCTAGGAATTTAAATAACCCCTGCCTGAGAAGATTAGGTGGATAAATACAACACACACACACACACACACACACACACACACACACACACACACACCATTAACTCTATATGAAAAATAATAAATTCTTTAAATTCAGCATTCAAACCATAACTGCTTGGTTGCTAAGTTATAGACACATGGATCAAGGAAGCATGAGGATTCACACATCTGAAAAGTCAATATTGAAAACAAACTAACAAAACAAACAAAAAAGAAATCTCAATGTCTTTCAAGTAACTACTGATGGTGATTGTAAGCTGTTTCCAATTCACTTTTTTTTTCTTCCTAGGATCAGGGAATAATAAATCTTAGCAACTGTTACAGTCCAAGCTGGTTGTCAGATAGATGTGGGTACTAATAGAAAGGTTAAATGCCTTGGTTTATGACATACAATGATTAATTATAGAGCTAGGATTAGAACCCAGAAGCAATACAATTCTCTAATTTCTTTAGCATATTAAAGCCAATTTTGCTGGGCTAGACAGAGCAGTTGTGACAGTTAGCATTACATGAAATATCGGCAAGAAATTGATATTTTAAAACCCCAAACCTCACAAGGGGTAGTAAACAGACCATCAAAAGACGTGGGTTCTCTTTGCATGTCTGCCTCATGTGCTTGCAGCATAAGAAATGGGGCAACAAAATATTAATGTTGTAAAACATTTAGGGTTACACAAATAGAAGAAAAAACACTGAAATATGAAAATATATCAGATCTCTCATGATGAGGCCAGACTCCATTCCTGGTTGTCTCCTGCTGGGAGAGGGGGCTAGGATTCAGTCACATAGAATCATCTAGCAGCAGGATCCAGCTGGATATACCGCTCTGCTGCTAAAGTGAAGACAGAGTTAGAGTCCACTCCCACTTTGTTGGCTTTTTGTTTTATTGGCTTGTGGAACATTTAAATAAAGAGAGTCAGGGATTTTCTTAAATGCAGAAGGCGCCTATGATTTCCTATTTCTAAGATCGGAGATTCCAGTGTTCCTATAGGATTCTGCAGCTGGTTGGCTGCTGAGCAGTGAAATAGTGAGCCAGGGACACACAGCTTTGCCTAACAAATGGCACCTTTTCTAGATGCATGATTCTGCCATGTGTTTGCACATGCTATGTCAGCACCTTGAAATGTTCACCTTCCTATGTGTCACCTATCCATTAACACTCCTACCACCACCACCAAACTTCTAAGATTGCCTGATTGCCTGGCTTAACTGTCTCCTTTTTTAGGAAACCCCCCATAACTGCTTTGGACAGAAGTAATTGCTCCCTCATTTGTGGTACCATAGAACTTTGTTCTCACCTCTATGGTAAGATTTACCTTCATGTATTGTAGTTGCTCCTTCACCTATGCCAGATGTATAGGAGCTACAGCCTCTCCACATTTGAAAGTCAAGTGCCTAGAACAGCACTTGGCTAACAGCATGTATTAACGAGGTGTGTTGAATGAATGAATGAAATTTTGCAAGGTCATTTCGGTTTAATCAACACTTATGCACTTGGTCTTATTCTCTCCATTATTAATCTTTTAAAAAAACTTCAAAAATAGTTTTGCTGATTTAAAATTTAATTATTCTATCAGTTCACAAATACTAATTAGGCACTTATTATATGCCAGGAACTCTGGTTGGAGCAGACTGATTTTAGGGGACAGGTCATAGAAGAAATGGTAGAAAGAATAGAATTGTAGATCAGGTGCACATGGGGAACTATGGGAGGATTTTTAATAAAGAGGCAATACAATTTTACTGGTACTTTAAAAAATACTTGTTTCTAAAGGCTATACTTTCAGGAATCATTTCTATAGTTTGTTACAAGAGAAGTTTCTCTGAATGTGTAGAGCACCAGAAACCACGACGAGGACGAGAAGGCACAGCATTCTTTCCTAAATGTGAAGCCAGCTCTTGGTGTTGCTTCAACTGCCACTTGCCATTAATGACAGTTCTTCTTTCCCACTGGGAGAATAAAAAGGAGAGAATGCAGTCCTTTATTTTATATATATACACACATATATATGTATATGTGTGTATATATATGTTTCCAACTGCTGTGTGGGGAATAGGCCATAGTGGAGGAGTGGAAAGCAGAAAGACCACTTAACATATGCACTAGTTTTCTTCAACGTACCACAGTCTGAGTGGCTTAAACAAGAGAAATTTGTTGTTGCAAACTCCTGGAGGCTAGATGTCTGAGACCAAGGTGTTGGCAGAGTCGGATCCTTCTGACAGCTCTGAGGGAGACTCTCTTCTATGCCTCTCGCCTAGCTTTCTGGTGGTTTGCAGACAATCTTAGGCATAGATGCATCACTCTGATTTCTATTTTCATCTTCTCATGGCATTCTCTCTGTGTGCTCTTCTGTCTCTGCATCCAAAGTTTCCCTTTTTATAAGGACACCAGTCATACTGGATTAGAGCCTACCCAAAGGACCTCATCCTAATTTGACTGCAAAGGCAAAATTTCTAAATAAGGTCACATTCTGAGACACTAGGGATTGGGGCTTCCATATATCTTTTTGGAAGAATGCAATTCAACCATACCAGTATACTATGGAAATAGTAAAGTCTAAAGATAATGGATGGACCAGAGCATAAATACTGGAGACAAAGAGAAGTGGCCACTATTGGCATCATTTTGAAGGTAGAGCCAACAGATTTTGCTGATAAATTGGATGTGGGGTATAAAGAATAAAGGAAACTTAAAAAGACTTCAGGATTTGGAATCTAAATAATTACTATTTTCTGAAATTAAGAAGACTGAGAAGAGTGTAGAGGAAAGTCAGAACTTTGTTTTTGAACATGTTAGCATGTTATCCTTGAAATCTGTTAGGATTTCTAGGCAGAGATGTTGATAAAGTGTTTTGGTACACAAGTCTGGCTTATGAAAATTTATAGCTGCAGAAGACCTAATCTCCTTAGTTCAACCAATACTTATGATAGATAAAAAAAAAAAAAGTCAGGTTTTTTTGTTTGGTTTGGTTTGGTTTGATTTGGGTTTTTTTGCTTAGGCTGGAGTGCAATGGTGCGATCTGGGCTCACTGCAACCTTCACCTCCCAGATTCAAGCAATTCTTCTGCCACAGCCTCCCAAGTAGCTGGGATTACAGGTGCCCCCCCACCACACCCAGCTAATTTTTGTATCTTTAGTAGAGACAGCGTTTCACCATGTTGGCCAGGCTGGTCTCAAACTCCGGGCTTCAAGTGATCTGCCCGCCTCAGCCTCCCAAAGTGCTAGGATTACAGGCATGAGCCACTCCACCCTGCAGAAGTCAGTATTTGTAAAAAGTGTTATTTAAAAAGTAAAACAAGACACCTTGCTCCAAGGCCACTGTAACATGTAGTGAAAGCAATAGAAAAAAAAATAGCTCTCTTGATTTCCAATCCAACACCTTTTCCATTATATTACAAAGCTTTCATCAGCAATTTTTAGTTCCACATGCAGTTAGTAAACAGTGGTTGGTAGCCTAATGCAACAAAATTGTTAAAAATTACAATTCTGGACCCAGTAGTTGGGTGACAAAGGTTCCAGCTTAATACATATTCCCATATATTATCACAAAATGTATGAACATAACTAGATGGTCAAAAATATTGCAAGCTAGAGTAATTTCCGAAATTGAACAGGTTTTTTTTTCTCCTAACATATATTCAAAGCTCTAATGCAGAATCTGATGTTGAGACTATGCTACCTTGAAGCATAGAGGCTGAATGCCCCCAGAATCAGGCACTTAACTTCTCTCTGCCCACATATCAACTGGCAGCTGGCTCAGTCCTTGCTGAGTCCAAGAGAATGTTTTGTCCATTTGAAGATTTGGTTGAGATCAACTTTCTATGTTTGGCACTCTGACTAAATTTACACTTCAAGAGATTCTGAAAGATATGATCAGCATGTCGGTCTTCTGTTAGCTTTGAAGAAGGTTTGATTTTTTTTTAAGTTAAAATTAAAGTCCTTGTACTTTTCCTCTGGGTTATTTTCATTTTGCAATAGAATATTTATTTGTCAAAAATAGCTACACAGAACAATAGTATTTATAATATATACAAACATTCTATACACTTTCAATCAAAATATGACTACAGAAATATGGAATAATCCTTATTGGCCTCTTTAAGACTATTTTAGCTACTGTATATTGATATTTTATAATGACTGCTGGGGCACTTTTTAATTAATCAGTGCAGCAGTTGATTAGCTGCAACTGTTAGAAACATTCGAGTAACTTCAAAAACCAGAAACATGTTCTATCCATCAGGAATGTTATGCTACTAACCCACTGGAAGGTTGCTGGAGGTAATGATGTTTCTATTATGTGGCCATAGAGAAGGGACAGCTGAGCAGCCTAAGCAAATTTCCAAAACAGAAAGGAAAGAATAGGTGTGCCATGCTCTGATATGTTGTAAATATTCATATGTGTTTAACATTCAGGGAGTAAAAACTCAGTCAAAATAGCTCTTAAATGTACTAAATGTCATCCTCTATAATTTTTCAATTAGAAAATTGATAACCAAAGGAGGGAAAAAATAAGAGGAAAAGCTAGTAGAGTCTCTTTATCCAGGGCTTTTGCATTATTTTGTTTTAAATCTTGCTAAAAATATTTTACAGATTAATTGCACACACCAAAACTAACAAAGCCTGTATTATGCACAAATGCTAATTATTAATGGATATTTTATACTGAATTCCAGTCTAATAATACAGGATATTTTGTCCTTTTCACTAAAATGCAGCAAAATAAATTTCATTAGAAGGCCTCCATGGTTACTTGCTTGTGAATGTATTCTTTTATAGACATTTACTAAGAAAAAATATTTAAAACAGATAGAAATAATGTCATCTCTATAGTGCATATGCACCCATTACTACAGCTAGCAAAGAAACAGAGATAAACTCACTTGCAATTTTTATGTTGTACTGATCACTTCCATCAGCCAAGAATGAAAGCCACATCTTTTGTGTTTAAAGAATAAAAGGCAGTGTTATATATTACAGCACCCAGAAGGCACCTGTGGCAGGTGCAGTAATTTAAGTCATCCTAAACACTCACTAAGGCAGCTAAGGTATAGGCCAGTTGGGTGAAAATACCAAGCAAAATAGGTTTGAGTCACTTTTCTTTTTTAACAATCTTGAAAAACAGAAGAGATTTCATATCTCTCAGGTGGCTTGGTTATGACCCTAGTAGAAAGCAGGGATGGAATTCTCAAATTTCTTTCAGCCCTCCCCTTTATTCTATGATTTAGAAATAAAATCAGAGGCGAACCTGGAGGAGTAGATACACATATTTATCAACTATAGTGCCCAGTAGAGGGCACTGGAAAGGCAGGACTGAAAGATAAGACTGCGCTCCTATTTTTAAATGATAAGGGTAGATCTTTTAGAAGAGAAAACCTGCAAAAACAGTTTTTCTAAGCACAAATTTATCGACAGGGTTTGATATTTATCCTTCAAATGCAATGTGAAATTGGCATTACTGCTGTTTTCAAATTTTGACTTTTTAAATTAAGATTGCTTGCCATAATGTGTTCCCTCAATAGTCAGTAAAGGAAACCACATTTTTATAACAAGATTGCAATATTTAGTTTACATTGGTTCTTATTGATAGGGAAGCAGATATTAGATGATTTCTGGCCTTCGATATTTTCTTCTAAATTTAAACATTAAAACTGTACCACCAAATTTTTGCTGCTTTTATTTTCTGAGTGATAATATTTATTGAACATTGTCAGTACAGAACATTATTCAAATATTCTAGCCAAGATACATGCCCTAAATGTTTATTTTAATATACGATGGTTTCTCACCATCGTATATTAAATAATTCCACTCACAGCAAATATTGAAAAATGGCCCCTTATGACAACTTTTTATTTTTGTCCTCTAACTTTATAAACTTTAGGAAGGCATACAGAAAAAGAGATATGGTAGAAAAGATGAGAAAATGTCCTAAATGCAATTGAATTTTAAAATATTACAAAGAAAAAGGTAACCATGCTGGTTGGAGAGTGTTTTAGGTAAATGGTAGCAATAGATAATCCAAAAAAGGGCACATCCTATGATAATTCATGCTGCCCTAAACTTTTCCTGGGATAAAGCTTACAAGCTAATGGCAACCAACATTTACCTCGTGCTGCCCTTTCCTTTTCAATGAATAAAAGGATCACACATACTGCTCCACATCCTTTGTAGATCCATTTGGCGTTACATCAAAGAGCACCCTAAAGACCAAAAAAAGGCATATGTGGATGATATTAATAAACATAACTTACTGGGTATTTTGAATTTCAATGTTTCTGCAGTTTTGCATTAATCCCCACTCAGGATTTAGTGGACATTTGCATTTTTTTCTAATTTTATAGAATTGACAACATCTGCTACAGTTTGGAAAGGTAGAAAACAACAAACAGGGAGGATTTTTTGGCTTCTACACACCTCTTATTTGACGGAGGGCTCAATCTCTTTATTTTTTAGTTTAATTTCACCCAATTCCATATGCTTGTGGAATGCATATTATAATAAGGCTGCATCTGTCGACCAGTTACAGCTGTGTCCGTGATGGTACTTGCTCGTAATCAATCCTCTCTCTGTTCTGTGGTGGTATGTCTCAGAAGGAAAACTGAGAACCATATGAGCTATACCTTTGTTTGACTCACGCTGTTCTGCAAAATGATTAGTCATCATCCCAGCAGTGGCTTGGTTTCTCTAAGTCTTATTTGGAAGCTGCCAAGACGTAGTCAGATGCAAACACCGTGATATGGACACATTTAAACACAGGAGACAGGCAGCATGGCAGCAGCAACTGAACATTTTTATCTCAAGCCCTAGACAGCAAGGCAGCAGAAAAGAGCGGTTTAACTCAGGGGGACAGCAATGAAAAGTGTGGCCGTACATGAGAGCACATGCTGTAACAGGCTGACGGACAGCATTTGGCTTCTATCAGAAGACACACTCAAAAGCAAAGCAAAGACAGAAAATAAGCTTCTAATTTCCTTCCTTGAAATTAGGTCCAGCTTCTGACTACTGTTCTGTGTTGGTTGGGGTTTTGAATACATAAAAGCAGACAGGCTTTAATTCATATCTGGTAATGGGTTTTTCTTTTTTTAAAACTTCTTCAGTGTGCATGCCTCTTGCAGTCCAGCTGGAAAAAATTATTTCTATTTCTCAAATGGTAGGTTTCATGATTCCTATATAAACCTTCATTCATTCATATATGCATTCCTACAAAAGTACCTACTACGGACCAGGCCCTCTTTTGTTGCTGGGGGTATATCCTTCAGCAAAACAGATAGAAGTTCCTGACATCCTGGAGCTTACATATCAAAGCGTGGTGACGAATATAAATCTGCATAAAATATATAACGGACTAGATGGTATGCAGGTCATGCAGCAAAATAAAATAGGAAATGACATAGGAAAAGCCAAATTGAGTTTAGGGGAGAGTCACACGTTTAAATAAAGTGTTAATGGCAGATAAGCTTGTAGCAGGTAAGGGAACAAGGCTGTGTGGTTGTGAGACTGTGTGTGTGAGCGCATGTTGGAAAAGACCACGTTCCAGATGAAAGGGCCATGGCAAAGACACTGAGTTTCATTAAGCATATTCTCTGTGTTCTTAGGTTACTCCTAACCAATGACAATCTGAGATTTGCTCCGTTTCCTGCTTTTCTTTCTCCCTCCTTTTATTAATTTCTTTATGTAACAAGCATTTATTGAACATTTATTATGTGCACTGTAACAGTCACTGAAATAACGAAACTGAATAAAATGCAGTCTCTCAGAGGATTCACAGTTTAAATGACTATTCAGATAAATACCTTCATTAGTTTGTTCTTGCTTAAAGCTTTCATATAATTTGTTTCCTACCTTATTTTGAGATAATCATATGTTTTCTTCCTGCCACTCAGCATTCCTGAAAATACCTGAAATCTGGGAAAGACATTCTGGTCACAATTATTTTGACATGCTTAATTATCTGGAAGCCTCCTGACTACAAGATGGAGGTTAGGTCACTCTAAGGTTGTTAGACAACATAGGGAAAATCCAAAGCTTTTTTGTATATGGCTCTAGTTATAGCTTCTGCTAAATTTGCTGAGCCACGTGGGTCATTTTTCCATCCCCAATCTCTTGCCCCGCCCCCACCCCATTCTGCCTCTCTCCTCTCAAGGCACTCAGGCCTTGTAGGCTAGTCTGTGTTTGTTCCTCCTCCCCTCTTCACCCTGGTTTTGCTTCCAGGAACTCGAATTCCTCTCACTCCACTAAGCAGAGCGTTCAGCTCCTTCTGTTTGCTATTCCCAAACTCAGCTCCAAGGCCTTATTTTGCATATCCAAGAGCTATGTAGGTTCTCAGCTAAAATAAAATGGCCTTCAACTATGTTCCTTTGTAAGGCCCCCTGAAAGGAAATTTTAATTTCAAATAAAACATTTTTTCTTTATAATAGAAAGTAACATTAATTCAGAGGTTGTTATACAATGTCAGTAAATTCCCTTCTCCTTGTGCATTTGCTGATCTTTTATCAACAAGTTCACAGCTGTTAACAACACGGGCAAACCTTTTGAGTCAGCCTTCCCTACAGCCTTGGCACCCTTTGACCTTCTCCTTGCTGCAGTCCCCTGGGATGGTTATATTTCCCACTCTACTGGGATCATTGCTGCTCTATGACTGCCTCAGCCGTGATTCACTATATTTACTTTGAATTGTGCAACTTTACCTACGACTGAACCTCAGAGATCACTCAGGTATGGCTCAGTGGCCTTTACAGCCAGTGACACCTCAATCTTTCTCTGAGTCCTCCTTTCCACCTCAAACCAGCGCTGTATCCCCTGTCCATGTCCTATGCCACACAGGCCTTCTGCTGTCGGTTTGCTCCTAACTGATCTGCTCCACCATTTCTGCAATGTCTCTTCAAGGTAGAAATCTGGCGCTAGTGAAAAGAACAACAACTTGGAAAACTGAACAGGATGTTAATACTTAACTAAGACAAATGTGCAACAAATCAGAATGCAAAACAAAAAAAGAAAAGTGAAGAAGAAGAAGGAGAAGGAGGAGGAGCAGGAGGAAGAGGGGGAGGAGGAGGAGAAAGAGGAACGATCTTTCCTATTTTCTTATGGCTCTATGACGAGGAATAACTAAAAACTTCCCTCTACTTAAATTCAGGACTCCTCCATCCAGGGGCATTGTGATTGGGTCAAGGTTGAAGGGAATACATCTGTGAATATGCTTGAGAGAAAAGAAGAGAGATTTTTCTCACAGGATTCTCACTGCATGAGATGTGAACTACAGTCGCAAATCGGAAACTGTGTTTGCACAATCGGAACTTTAATGTATGAGGCCCAAACAGATGCAGAAATGACAGAGGAGTTAAGAAGAAAATACTTAAGCAGATAGTGAGGGTACGGGAGTCTTTGGTAAGGTTTTCTTTTTAATGAAAAGCAGCCCCCAAATCATTTTCTAACAAGGAGCAACCTGTAGAATCGAGCTGCAGACACACACAAGCAGGCTGAAAGCTTGCATAGGTGAATGCCGGCAGGACAGAGCTACCTGGGACTAGGCATGTTCAAACTGGCGGCTCCACCTTCCCTTCTCTTTGACAGCCACGTGTAGAGTAAGGAGCAGACAAGATGGTGCAGGTCAAGTGGAAAGCCCATCTGCATAATAAGATCAGGTTGGGGTGGTCAGCCTTCTCTGGCACGTGCTATGTAAATGTCACAGCTCATTGAACCAATCTGTGGGCCCTAGGTAAAACAGACACCACCTCCTCAAGCCTGCCTATAAAATCCAGCAAACTCCCGGCCAGCTGATCTGCTTTTGGAAGCCCCTCTCTCTCACTAGAGAGAGAGAGAGAGAGAGAACTATTCTCCTTTATTTTTCTTCTGCCTATTAAGCCTCCACTCCTAAACTCCCTGTGTGTGTCCAATGTCCTAAATTTTCTTGGCGTGAGACGACGAACCCCAGGTATTTACCCCAGACATTGACGCTGCTGCAGAAACGTACTATTTGAGCTTCCACGTGCTCTAGTCCCTTCATAAAATAGTTTCAGCTAATTTTTCCTTACAAATCTTGTGTATTTTGTGAGTAGAATTCAATAGTAGGCTCTCACATGCTATTCATTTCAAATCGCCCTCCTTTAAGCATCCCACACCAACCCCTCACCACCACCATCACTGCTGCTGCCAGCACTTCAGTTGCCTTCCAAATTGCTTATACAGGGTCTTAGACAGTCTCAGAAGTGAGAACAGAGAAGAGTTGTCACATTCAAGACCTATTGAGTTCCCAAGGGCTGATCACTGCTGTCCTCTTTCTTAAACCCGTGTCCCAAGGACGATGGCAAAGGGGAAGAGAGAGGGTGTGAGGGAGCAGAACGTGCTGACAGTCATGTCTCTCCTACAGCATGCTTTCATCAGCAGATGTCTGTTGATGCCTAAGGAAATCTGGGCGGTTATGAGCCCTACCCCAAAGAGCAGAGAAGTCATGTCCTCAGCCCACCAGAGGTGATAGTTTATTTCTCATCGGGGAACCTGAACTCTTGCTCTGCTGCTTAATGTCAGAACACCTGGCTGTCTTCTCCTGTGTTCCATTCTGCAAGTCAGAAGAACTTTTGCCCTCTTCTTCCTCTTCCTTTGTTGTTCTTTCTCTTCTTCCCTTTTTTCCTGCTCTTCCTCGTTCTTCTTTATTTCTCTCCTCCAAGAATCATTTACACAGGATAAAAGTGTTTTTACTCTTCCTACCTTGGTATGCTGTCCATGTTTTTTGCATGTCATGCTAGCATAAGGGTACTTCATGAGCCCTCTGTGTTCAGATTATTTCTGGAATTTCCCCAGAATCTCATAGCCTTTTTGTCTTTGGGATTTTTCCTACTTCATACAAATGTGCAAATTTGAGCAAAAAATTTCCTAATATCCCAGAACTTGGAAGGAACTGCTGTTCAAAACTTAGCTTATTAAACAAAAAAAAGACAGCAAGTAGAGAATAACAGCAAATAGTAATTAGAAAACTCCCTTTGGGGTTGATTAAGGATTGGGAAAAAAAAAAAACTTGTCCCCTGTAAACATCACTGAAGAAGTTTATTAACTTCTAAACCAGACTATGTAAGCTATAAGCAAACAATTGGAATTGGGAGGAAGGGATCTATAGAATTGGAAACTGTCAGTCTGTTTGAGAATGCTGTGACTTTTCCCTTTGCTCCCTGAATAAGGAAGAGTAGAGGCATGTTTTTTTCACTCAGAGCCATTTGAAGAGTCTTTTGAGGGAATCATTCTTATAGACTGAAGGGGCAGGAAAAAGGGAAATGGACATTTCAGTTTCTGGTTTAATTTCTCCTTAAGCAGTAGACCAATTAATCTGCCCCATACTTCAAATAGAAGGATGAAAACTTGAAGAAAGAAGGCAGGGGGAGGGAGCAGCATTAGATCTCTTCACTTAATATGACAATGTTGATTGAGTTTACTATGAATCAGGTGAGCAGAGCAAATTTATCAATCAAGATTCCTCCCAAATAGTGTGGAAACTAAGCCAGAAGAAAAAACAGCACGGGAGATCATAAGTTGCACCACTGATGTGGGGGCCAAAGTAGGTTTTAGAGGGGTCAACTCAGAGTGGATGTTCTGGATCCTACTCCTGGCAGGCATCTTATGGCAGTGAGGATCAATAGTACTGATAGCAGTGGCAGAGGGGAGATGCCACTTTTTTTTTTTTTTTGCACTTGGCAATGGAAATTAGGTCAAGTTCTTTAAAAAATATTATTAATTCTGTGATTTCTTGATCAGTTTGCAAAGAAGTAAACAAACTCTTAAGAATGGGATGATGAACTAAGAGTTTGACTAATGGAGAAATAGGAAGTCAAATTACATTTAGAGAAATAAAGAAATATGATTCCCCAACATATGTGAAATCTTTATACCTCTCAGTATACATTACAAAATAGATGACTCTGGATTCATTTATGTTATAGACATAAACCAGGCGGTATCATCTTTTGTGTGCCTTTGTCCCTTTCTCTAGCAGAGATCATAAGTTGATAGCCCTGTGGGCTCTATTTAGCCCACATATATATGGATATTATATATCTATATATAGATATTTGGTTTGGTTTGGTTTCAGTTTACAAGCTAATAGAAACATTTTATAAAATTAATTTTTATAATACTCGAAGGAGAAGCGTATCTTCCCATCTGAACCTGCACCCTCAGGCAGCTACTAGCAGGGCATTTGCTTTGCATCATCACACATAGACTGCTGAGTATGCAGACTACACCTTATAGGAGCAAGTGAGGTTTAGGAAAGAAGAGAAATGTCAGAAGACAATCCTGTACCACATACATCTTCCCAAGTACTACCCTTATTATAAAATGAAGGCATCAGGGAAATATGTGTGTGAGTAGAGAAAAATCTCAGAACTACTATATGCTTCATTAAAAAAAAAAAAGAGGCTATGAAAGAAATACTGAGAACCTGTTCTATTCTGCCTTGAACTTTGTGACTCTTCAGAAGAAATGGGTCAAGAGAACATTGAAGCATGAAGGTTGGTTCCTAGAGTCTTAATGAAACTTCAAAAGAATGTCATGCATTCAGCCATACAGAGAAGCATCTTTTAGGAGCTAGCATGTCAGTATATTCAGCCCACTTAACTTTTTCTGCTATGTCTCTGGTGTCTGTTTCCACACCATGGCTGTCACACCAAGGCCGGTTACTGGAAGGGAGGGGCCCTTTCCCACTCTCCTGCCACTGAGAAGAAAGGAATCCACAGTCCTATTGACAAGGAAAGTTATGCCCTGGCTCCCTTGGGGGATTGGAACAGTATGAATTAATTTTTTTACAGGCATATTAATAAACATGGTAATTAGGTTCTCTGCAGTACTGATAAAGTATTCGACTTTCGTAAATTTGGAACAATTTACCAACTTGCAGACACTCTAGTGAGTTGTTAAAAAAAAGAGCAAAATCATCCCCTTATTTCATTAGGCAATCTTGATAGCTTAAAAGTAATTGAATATCTCATTGACCTTTATTATTGAAGACAGGTTGAATGTTTCTAGACATTTAAGGCACGTGCATAAACATAATAATTAAGACAAATAAAATGATATTTCTATTTTATTATCTTATTGTTTATTATGAATCTTTTATTTAATTAATATCAAACTATGTGTTGATGAATGATATAAAGGACATGATGACATTCTTTATCTTTGTGTTCTAGTCCAGATAATATCACCTAAAATTTAAGGCAATTTAAGATTATTTTACTTTTCTAAAAAGAAAGATATTCAATGGTTTTGTTCTTAGAAATAAATTGTGCTCTTCTTTCACAAAAGATCAGAGTTTTCTAGGAGATATCTAATAATCCTAGGCATACAGAGCATTGACGTTAAGAAACAAGATATGAAGCTATTCTTTCTGTAACAATTATCTTATTGTTTTTTTAAATACCCTCAAAATGCATAAGAGATCTGAAACTTCACTTATTAGTTTCCCACTAGCAAAACAAACAGAACGAAAGTTAGCATGAGGTCATTGATCAAAATCTAATTCAAAGTTCTATATCTTGCTTAGCATGTGTTTAGTACCTAAGAAAAAATAACCCACTAGGGTGTAGCAGAAACACTATCTGATTCTGTGTCTCAGGTTGGCATTAAAACAGTTACTTTGTTAGAGTTGTCTATCACACAAAAACAGAATGGCATAAATAATGTATTGAATATTTTACCCCATGGACACTATTCAATTGTTAATAATATAAACATAAATGTTGTTATATTATTGTCAGAACTACAGTCAATTTTACCTACATTTCAAAATATACTTACATTGATAGAATTTTTCAAGTATTTCCCTATGATCTACCTATTTCCCTAAAACTATGGAGAAGTTTTTGCTGCAGGCAGATTCATGAAACTAACATGTTGTATTTAGCCTGTGGAATCCTAGACTAGAGGAGTTAAGTTCCAGAAATGGACAATATGGTACCATGTACTGGAATTATATGCTTCTCTGGCTAAGAATGAGAGTGAGGGACTAATTTAATGCTTTTTGGTACATGATAGGAGGGGTGGTACACCTAGTAAAGGAGTTCCTCTCAAAGAGGGCTAGGCCTTGAAGTCAACACTACCAGGCAAGAAAAAAATCTGTGAAAAGAGACCTCACAATCCTGGGAAGATGTAGTATCAGTAAGAGAATTGCAAGATAGCAGGCTTCAGATCTTCTGATCTTCCTGCCAATTGCTATGAAGAAATGCTCAAACTTTTTTTTTTTTTTTTGCTTTACTTAAAAGAAGATAGTGATGGTACATCTGGGTAGAAGTCCATTGTTAAATTATCTGTATATGCCACTTTCAGAAAAAGTAAAAACTTGGTCCCTGTCAAAGCATCAAGAATGTATATGTTTAAAATCCAAAGAAGGTTTTAAAACATTAGAGTATAAATCAGCTTCCTCAGTTTAAATACAAAGTTAAACGCAAACTCTTTCTCCTATGGGAAAATACAATCAGATATTGTATCCTACTTGTGTCTGATCTTTGAAAGCAAAGTCACAATGATGACTGATGAAAAATAACTAGGCTTAGACAGTAACGCAGGTTACTAACAGGTATATTTGGAGTTTGGGGACATTGTAAAGACTGCTGTAGAGCTGTATATTTCTCTCCCCAGAGTAGATAACTCTAAATTTTAATAGGTCCCACTTATGTTGACTGGAAATATCCTCCAAATTTTTCTGGACTGTGTTGGCCCTCTGACTTAGAACTAAAGTCTTGATATAGGAATCCAATATACACCACTGGAAACTTTAACATGATTACAGTAAAATCTCCATGTTAGTTCTGAGATTGTGGAGGATCTGACAAAACTCCCCTTGCAAGCTAGCAAGTTAGCTTTTTGTTTTCTTAATATGCATGTACTGATAGAAGAACACAAAACCCTAGGCCAGAGACACAGACGGTTTGTTACTCATAGCAAAAGCAGTAGTCAGAGTAATATCTTAGCATCTTATTTCTACACCCCAGTCCCCCTTAGGGCAACATTATGAGTACAAGATGTTTACTTCGGCATGCAGCGGGGTTGCATTCCAGGAGAGGAAACCCCAAATTACGAAACTTTAAGCTTTTATGGGCTTTTAGCAATCTGCTCACCCTCCTCCCTAGAAAGAGAGAAATTACTCATTAACCTGGAAAGTAAGAAAAATGTTTCCAGGGAAGGGAAAGAGATTTCAGTAGATACATAAAAATAAACCATCACACTTCAGTATCCTGAAATGTCTCTTTTTAGGGAGACACACTTTCTATAGCTCCCAAAAATATGTTTGCTATTCAAACATGCCCATTACTCAGAAGGCCTGGAACACAAGAAACCCATGAATAATTGTATCCCTACCCTCCCATTGAGAAACTTTAGGGTCAGGTAGTGTCATGAGCCTTCGTATACTTGATCATATGAGGAAATTTTACTGACAAGTTGGAAATTTTACTGACAAGTTATCATTGTCACAGGGGAGTTCTTTATAACTTGCCTTTTCAAGTGGTTGTGATGGATTCTTTATAGTCAAGGTTGTCAAATTTCTGTCTACAACATGCTAAGTAGAAACCGTTTACTCAGAGAATTAAAGCTGCTTTTCACTCTTATCTCAGTGGACAGCTGCCTTGGTTGAATTGCTTTTTATTCTCACCATCTTCTCTATATGCAAACAACACCACTTTTGTTTTTCTAACTCATAAGTTTCTAGTTTTGAGGTATAATTTACACACACTGAAATGCACAGATCTTAAGTTTATAGTTCCATGAGTTTTGACAAATGCATATAGCTGTGTGTACCAAGTTGCAGAACATTTCCATTACCACAGAAATCTCCCTCATGCCCTTCTTCAGTCAAATCCTGCCCCCACCAGAGGCAATGAATATTCTATGATAAGCAACTTCCCTGAATCTTCACTGTCATCTCTGAAGGTTACCTTCACCTCCCTGAAAATATAATTCTCACTTGAAAACGATGTTTTCTCTCTTACTCCACATATGTCAAAGCCTGAAGCAGGATAAATGCCTCACTTCATTAAATGACTCTACGAATTACTTAGTTTCTCAGGTGTATCACATAGAACTCATCCTTGATTCTTCCCATTTTCTTTCCATTCCACATCTAATTCACCATCTCTTCTACTATAATAACATTAGACTCAACCATCATCCCATTTCTCACCTGAATTTGTTCAGCATCCTCCTAAGAGGTATCTCTTTCTTTTCTCTTGCCTTTAGAGTCCACATTTTTTATCAGCATAAATCAGACTGTGCCTACCCCAAGCTTAAGACTTTTTTATTGTTTACCATTGCAATCAGAATAAAATCCAAATTACTTTTTATGGTATCTAAGGCTAAATATTCTGGCTCCTGCCCACTTTTCTGATTTCATTACTTTCACTCTGTCATCTCTGGACTCCTTGCCACTCACACTAAACTTCCTGTCCCTTCAGGACAGCCTCTTTCTCCTCTAGACATAAAGAAACACCACCCTCTGATCCGTGGCAAAGTGGATGAGCCCAGAGGACCTTACGTTAAATGAAATGTGCCAGGAACAGAAAGACAAATATTGCATGTTCTCAGTCATGTGGAAGACAACAAAGGTGATCTCGCAGAAGTAAAGAGAAGAACAAAGCTTACTAGAGGCTGGGGATTGGAAAAGGATAGGAAAATGTTGGTAGATGAAAATAAAATTACAGCTAGATAGGAGGAATATATTCTATTGTTATATAGCACTGTAGGTTGACTATAGCTAATAATTTATTGTATATTTGAAAATATACAATAAATGAGGATTTTGAATGTTCCCAGCATGAAAAAAAGTACTTGAGGTGATTTATATGCTAATTACCTAGATTTCGTCATTACACATCATATACATGAATGAAAATATCACTTTGTACCCCCAAAATAGGTACAATTAATGTATCAATTAGAAATATAATAATGATAAATAATTGAAGTTTAATTTGAATTGACAGCTCATAGATTTGAAATAAAACATAAACTGCATATTCACTGCCACCACTTTGCTCTCTCACACAATATTAGTGGAGACTCTCTAGCTCCACTAATTTGGTAAAGATACCAAATGAAGGAAACGGAAAAGGAGGGGTATTAAGAAATTGTCTTTCAATTAGTAAAATCTGAAGAGGGAGAGCTGGCAGGGGTTAACCTGTGTTCCCTTGAATTCTGCCTTGAATTAGCTAGGAAATGAAGGTGTAGTTCTCTTCTGTGGTCTAGATTTTCAAAAGTTTGTAGCTAAGTTGAAATGGGAGCATGGCACCTCTAAATGTTCAGGTGAGTAGGACGGCCAGAATACGCTCTTTAGGGAATCATCAATGCCAGATTGTTAAACAGAAAATAGAAGTGTACCTGCCAAAGATGTAAATATTTTATGTGCCATGGAAATAAATGACAAGGTCAAAACAGTTGGTGAGAGTGACATCATGGGGTCTAGATACAGATAAGTTCAAGAAAGTAGATGAGTTCTCTCATCCACCAGCGTCCAGCTGTTTATATAAATTCTCCGTGATATGATATCCATGATATGATAGCCAACCAAGTGGGAAGACAAACTAAAACTTGTTGATGAATCTTTGAAATGGAGCCTGTAGGGCTTCAAAAGGGGGCCGAGTTATGCACCTTGAACATAACTGACTGATCATTGATTTGGGTTTTATTTACTTAAAAAAATCTTCATAAATTTGTCCTCCAATTGCTGGTCTGAATTCTAAGAGTTAATATTAAAGCAATTCTAAAAATAAAGTTATATATTAAGAACATCCAATTCAGTGGCTGCTAAAGTATTAAATCAGTAAAACCCAACTATTGCCACTACTGCTAATGCCTGACTAATATGGTTTGGCTGTGTCCTCACCCAAATCTCATCTTGACTTGTAGTTAACATGATCCCCAAGTGTCATGGGAAGGACCGAGTGGGAAGTAATTTAATCATGGGGGTGGGTACTCCCATGCTTTCTTGTTCTCATGATAGTGAGTTCTTACAAGATCTGATGGTTTCAAAGGAGCTTTTTACCCCTTTGCTCTGCACTTCTTGCTGTTGCCATTTGACGAAGGACATATTTGCTTCCCCTTCCACCACAATTTTAAGTTTGCTGAGGCCTCCCTAGCCATGCTGAACTGTGAGACAATTAAACCTCTTTCCTTTATAAATTACCAGGTACGTCTTTATTAGCAACGTGAAACAGACGAATACACTAACTTTTACTAATCACAAGGTAGGTGCCAGGTATTTGCATAGTTACCTCAGTCTACGTGTATTTAATTAAGTCCTTAGAACAATGTGATGAGGTAAATCCATATAAAATATATCACCCTCATTTTACACATGACATAACTGAAGTACAGGTAAAATAAATACATTTCCCAAGTTTACCCAGCTAGTGAGTAATGGACACAAGATTAAAACTCTTTGTTGACTTCTTAAGCATTATATAATATTCCTCCAGAACAAATCAATCTGCTGTCCACATGTCATATATATTTGTAAAGTGGTTTACAAAGCAGCGTCTTAAAATCATTTTCTCTCTAACTGCCATTTCACCTGCTTGCTAACTCATGAATTATCTTAATTTTTAATTCATTAATATATTATTTATTTTATTGTGTTTTCAAGAAAACCGCTTTCGAATTTGTTAACCAATTTTACCATTTCTCTATTTTTCAATTAATCCTCTTTCATGTCTTTATTAATAATGACCTTATATTTGTTATCATTTTCTAAGTTTTTAAAATGGCTTGGTGCTTAGAAATCTATGTTTCATGTTAAGAATATTTTCCTGAGTGCTTTCCTTAAAGCATTCCATAGGTTTTGATATACTAGTTTCTTGTTTCCATCATGTTATGAAAAGCTTGTAAATGCAATTTTGATTCCTTCTTTGGCCCTAACATTATTTTGAGGTTTGTTTTAAAATTTTCTATCAGGTTTGATTTTTAGAATAACTTTTTGTAAGATACCAGTTTTATTAGGTATATTCATGGGAATCTGTATATTCTTATTCATCTGAATTCACATAATCTTTGAAAGCCTGACAGTGGTATGTCAAATCTATATCTGATTTAAGTCAATAGAGCTTATAGGCATAATAATTTATATAAGAATATATATATGTAATTTGATATCAAAACATAACTCATTACATTCATGCTTTCCTGTTTGATAGAGGATCTAACTATTTACCATTTATTGGTATTTTATCTGCTGATGACATTTCTTGTCCACATAGACCATCAATGAAGAGAGGATGCAGAAATCCACTAAATATAGATTATATATTTGAGATACAGAAGGAGTATTCAGAAAAAAAATGGGTATTCCTTGGCCAACATCTCGATCACAATCATGGAAAAACAAAATAGGATAATTTTAAGGGTAAAAGATGACTGTAGCCTGTGGAGGCCCAGTGAGAGCTCCTTGGTCTGACCTCCAGGATAAAGGGGCAAAAAGATTCTGTTATATCCAAGCCCCTGGAGGGAGAATTCCAGCTTCTGGAGTTTCTGAGCTAACAAACTCAGTGAGCCTAATTACAGAGTGCAGATGGATTCTGGATCATATAATAAAGCAACATCATAGTAAACTCTGCATCATATGGAAACCAGAAATTTAGAACCATGAGAAAAAGAGATGTTTCATATTAGAAAAAGAGAACATAAAACTAAGCCATAAAAATTCAAGAATGCACTTCTCAGAGTCTATTATATTTTGAGTGGATAGTATTGATTAGAAAAGGAGTTTAGTGAGGGAATCAGGAAAGCACCGAAAAAAATACGTAAAATAGAATGATTTAAACTGAAAATCCAGAAGCAATTTTATCACCAGCAAGATCCTATGAAAAACAAGACAGAATGAAAATGAAGGAATGCAAATCATGTGGTCATTTGTGGGTGACTATCAAGGAGATGTGAACCAATCATGCAGGTCAACTGAGCTAAGTAGCTAGTCATTTTGTCAGAAAGAGCTAGGGCCATTCCAGTGTGGCCCGAAAAGAGGGTCCCTTATTCCTTCTGACTGTACTGCAATGAGAAAGCCACAGGAAAACAACAGTAATTAGAGAGACAGCTTCCGGCGACCTGGTATGCTTCTTCTACTTTGGATAGAAGTTTGGAAGGGATTTAGACAGCAAAAGGTGAAGTCAAGAGGAAACAAAATGAATTACTAATCAAAGTGCTAACTTGAGCCTGTGCAGTTAAGACAATTTGTACACATAGAACACTTGTCTTTCCCTCAGACTTTGAATAGCATTAGTGAGTATAATAATCTCATAGTTGCATCCTGATATTTTTTCTCTCCTTTTTCAATTCATTGGCATCACTAACTGGAATGTTCTTTCGACTGTGATGTGACTGATTCTTGATATTTGGCTTTGAGTGGAGCAATTTCAACAGTGATTTTCCTACTTTCTGGGGAGGTATAGGAAGAATGGGCCTTCTCAGATCGAGTAGTGAGAGGGTAATATGTGGTCAATATTATTTACAACTCAGTCCTTTAAGTACATTATTGACCATCATTTTCCAATGACTAAGTCAATTACAGTACATAATATTTCATATCTCTCTCCATGATACTGAGGATAGGAGGAGAAATGGGAAAGCCAACTTTGTGCTCATTGGCTCATATATGTAGCCACAATTCATAACTTTGTCTACAAATTTATAAAAGTATATAGTTGAAGATACTCCTTCTAGCCTCAGTTCTGAGTAAGTCATCATTGTCATCACAGCTGGAACTTATTGAGCTATGAGATAGGGACTGTTCTATACACTTTGCTGTATTTTAATTTATGAAGTCTTACCATAACCTGATGCTGTAAGGTGTGAATCACTATAGAGCTGCCAGAGGTAGCTTTAAGCCCAAAAGTGATAGGACCTGAGGGATCTGTAGGATCTGTATCAGGGTGAATGGGTCAATGGTTAGTTTTCGTATTGAGAGGAATGCTGTCTTAAACAGTGAGGCCGGGTGGGCATGATGGCTCACATCTGTAATCCCAACACTTTGGGAGGCCGAGGCAGGTGGATCATCTGAAGTTGGGAGTTCAAGACCAGCCTGACCAACATGGAGAAACCCCATATCTACTAAAAATACAAAATTAGTCAGGCATGGTGGCACATGCCTGTATTCCCAGCTACGCGGGAGGCTGAGGCAGGAGAATCACTTGAACTTGGGAGGCAGAGGTTGCCATGAGCCGAGATCGCGCCGTTGCACTCCAGCCTAGGCAACAAAAGTGAAACTATGCTCAAAACAAACAAACAAAAACAAACAACAACAACAACAACAACAGTGAGGCCCCCTCAGCTGTGTTTCTTGAAGTCTTTAGGTTTGAGAGGTTTGAAACTTCTCCTCAGCACATATTCTATCCTTCCTGGAGATTGCCCTGATATTCTTCAGCTGTCCTAATTACTACATATTCTGATTTCTTAAAATCTCTTGAATCTTTTAACCAACCACTAATTTAGTTCAATCTTAAGAATGCAGAAATGTAAACAAATGAATTTTTTAAATACTATGGTGAAAGATATTTTCACTGAAAAATTAGAATTTCATATCTATTAGTTTTAAAATTTAACAACAATAAGTTTCATGTATTTTTGTTTGTATTCTTGACACACTTTCACATCTATTATCTCACCTCATTCTCATCACCATTCTGAGATGAGGCAGGTCAGGGATAGTTAATCTTATTTTGGTGATGGGCAAATAGCCTGGAAAATAAAATATTAGGGAGACATGATAGCTGTTTTCAGCTATGTCAAGGGTTGTCACAGAAAAGAAGAATTAGATAATTTTGTTCAGATTCAAAGGGTAGATCTGGGACTAGTGGGAGGAGTTGCAGGGAAGCAAATTTAGCTCCATAGAGAAAAGAGTTGCAGCAATTTCAAATATAGAATGGGCTGCCTTGATAGGCAGTGCATTTCCCCAAACTAGATGCTTTGCAATAGTTGGATGGGAAATGTATTCAGAGGTGGTAAAATCAGGGGAGAAAGACATTATCTGACATGCTCCCAAATGAGTGTATATGATCTATAAATTGGAAGCATAAATAAATGTAGTGACTTTTTAAAATAGTCATATTCCAGGCATTAGTCAATCTTATCTGCCACAGCCCAGGGCTAATTCCGTTGGTAATCTGTAATCTATTACATCTTTTTGATAATAACAAAAACTTGGGCCAAGGTCCAAATGCTGATGTAGTTCTCCCTTCTGAGAAATACTAAACCATAGAATGTTGAATTTTTCTTAATTTTTATCCCTATCAAGCCAGAAGATTTAGTTGAGCTTTACTTTCTATAGATTGTATTATGGAACAATTACTTTCTTATGTTATCATGTTATATGCATGGAAATTTTACAATTGGAATGTGCCTTTTCAAAGTACACAGACATTCTCTAGTCTTGCTTCATTCCTTTTACTTTTTCACTTATTTCTCTCTCATTGGATGAAAAAAATCAGTTATACAAATGCACTACTTCCCAAAATACAAGAAGAAAATATTGGTTCAGAGTATGGATTTATTGTTGAAAATCTTACACTCTTCAAATCCATGCCAAAACTAACTAGGTGTCATTATGGCACAAAAGGAAGGAGTTGTATATAGATGCCCTAAGACAGACTGCAGTAAATACCCTGTTGACACGATCAGGAGTAGAGATTTAATCAAAGTGATAATGTATGAGACCTCTATCCCTAGGATTTACTTCAGTTATTAAAGCAAAATAAATGTTATAAACCATAAAGGTTATGTTTACAGTAGGAATGTTAGGGAAGACTACATGCATATGCAGGGCCAGCAACTCCTATGAGATATTACAGAAATGAACTTAAAAAATGGCCATCAGTGCTAGAATCCTTCTCTCCATAATATTATAATTACAAACTTATCTTATATAGCAATAATAATTTTGAAAGCAGAATTAGGAAATAATTAAATTGTTATTAATTGCACAAAAAGAAGTTTCACAGAGAGTACCTGGTATGGTCTATTTATGCCCCCCTAAAATTTATATGTTGTTGAAATTCTCACCCCCAAGAGGATGGTATTAGGAGATATGGGCTTTGGAGGTGATTAGGTAATCTTTTTTCCCTTCTACCATGGGAAGACACAGGAAGAAAGTCCTCACCAAACATGGCCTCTTGATTTCCCACTTCCCAGCCTCCAGAACTATAAGCCAAATAAAATTCTGTTGTTTATAAATTACCCAGTCTGTGATATTCTATTATAGCAGCACAAAGCGTTCTAAGACAGATGTGAAGTTTTAAATGTTTATAATTTAATTTTAGGTTGTAGAAATGTATTACATAGAAGAAAATTATGATTACTGTTAACTGCCCTTTGTGTGACATCTAACTAAATCATGCTACTATAAATTGTTTAGCTCACTTATCAATACCTGGCATATTGTAATATAAGAGACCTTGAAAAAGATGCTTTCTCACTGCGAAATTGGAATTCAAGTAGGCATATTACAAATGTATTTTAAAAAGAGTGAAAACAATCTTTTATTCACCACAAATGTCACACCAATATTCTTAATATTGTCATCATCATCATCATCATTAAGAAGTACTTATTGAACATCCAATTGCTCTTAATCCAATCTGCTGTAATTGCTGCATCCCATGGATTCCATCTGATGTAATTGCTGGTGGACACCTTCCCAATTATATGATACACACATTTCCTGCAAGGCAGCTGCAGGAAATAAACAATGAAATATAAAGCTGTAGTGTATTAGTTCCTTCTTTACCATTGTAGCTAAATATTTTCCAGGTCTTTCTCTCCAGGATAATAGGAAGACATGAGATTCTATTATTTCCTCATGATCTCAAAACTAAACTGGTGAAATCATATTTTCACTTTTCCAATTAAGAATTGGCTACTTACCTAAAATAGATATGCAACAAATGACCTTATTTGTCAGTAGTGGTTGCCCATAATTTATTCTCCTTAGCAGTGAATTGGCAGAATATTAAAAGAATTTATGCATACAATGTGTTTAGATCAGTGGCTGGCAGAAAGTAGAAAATCCAGAAATGGTAATCATTATATCACATTTGATTTGAAATGAAAAGACTCCTTGCCCTTAAGTTCATCAACAGCTCCGGATACATCCCCATATTTTCCAATCTAGCCCTTGGAATTCTCTTCACTTTACGTTATCATTAAAGATACTTTAAAAAAGATATCTCATAGATGTATTTGTAGATCTCTTTTGGTAAGAGTTTCTGACAAATTATTTTAAAAACCAAAAATAGCAAACTAATATTTTCTTGTACATTTATATTCATTTGATTATATGATTTTACATAATCATAATATATAATCATAATTATATATAAATTATATAAATGATTTCATATTATATTTTATATTTTTGATATTTTAAATTGTGCTTTAAAATTATAATTTGACATTAAACTATTATTAATGTTACGTGCTTTCATAAGATTGAAAATGGTGCAGTCTAATAATGCATTTGACTACATAATTAAAAAAACACAATATTTTTATTTTTCTTCTATCTTTTTATCTGATACCTTAGTGTCATAAGTAAAAGAAATGCATTTTTGTTGACTGATGGTAGAAGTCTTAAAAACTCATCCTATGTATAATACTCTAATGACATGTAAAGCAACAACAGAAGATATAAGTCCCCAACACTCTCAAAAATCAATGTTAAAAATTATCCTTAACCTGAACAACCTTCTGAACAATAGCACGCCCTATTGTTCCTCCATAGTTATTTTTCACACAGCAGCCAGGGTAATCCTTTTAAGATTTATGGTAGGACCATTTTTTTTTCCCGCTGTAAACTCTCCAGTAACTTCCCTTATTAGAATAAAATTCCAAGTCCTTTTTATGGTCTGTGACACATCATCTGACTCCCAGTTACCATTTCCAATTTATCTTTTACCATGCACTCCCCTCTTCACTCCATTCTAGATTTTCTGAGTCCTTGAACTTAGATGAAGATGATGAATAAGCTCTCATCTCCAAGTGTAAGCACCTGATGCATATTTTGCCTGGTCCACTTTTCTCACATCTGTATGGTTCTTTCTCTCTCTTCATTCAAGTACGAGGTAGCCTTTGATCAGTAAACAGTGTATCTAAAACGGCAGCTACTATTACTCCCTGTCATTAACTCTTCATTGCACCTATCACCACCTAGCTATGCCTATATGTAAATATATATAGAACATATGTAAATATATATGTATACTCACATATTTGTTCATTGTCTGTCTCTCTTATAAAATGCAAGCTTTATGAGGGAATGAGATTTGTTTCATTCATTCCTATCTCCATAGCTCTGAAAAAGGGTGCCTAGCCCAGTATTTAGTAGGCACCCTATATAATTTTGTGAAGGAAAAGAAAGAATGAAGGAAGGAAGGAAGGATAGAAGGAAAGAACAAATAAAATAAGGAAAGAAAAGGAGAAGGCAGAACTTGCTAGTGGCACAGGGTTCTCCAGAGAAATAGAACCAATAGGATACTTAGGAGACATATGCCATATATCATATACATTTACATATGTGTATTCTCTATATAAAAAGATTTACTATAAGAAATTGGCTCATGCACTTGTGGAGGCTGAGAAGTCCCACAGTCTGCTTTCAGTAAGCTGGAGACTCAGGAAACCCAGTGGCACATATTCGGTCTGAATCCAGAGGCCTGAGAACCAGGAGAGCCAATTATGTGAATTCTAGCTTAAATCCAAAGGCCTCAGAACTGGAGGGCCAAAAGTGAAAGTCCTAATCTTAGGACAGGAGAAGACTGATTATCCAGCTGAAACATTTAGGCAGAGAGAGAGAATTCTCCCTTCTTCACCCTTTCTGTTTTATTCAGGCCCTTAATGAATGGGATGGCCCACCCACACTGGGGAGGACCATCTGCTTCACTGGGTTAAACCTCTTCTGGAAACAACCTCACTGACACACCCAGAAAAAATGATTAAACAGGTATTTGGGGATCCGTTAGCTCAGACAAGTCAACACATACAAACAACCATCACACACTCTCTAACAAAATTTCAATTGTTCTCTACTCTTTCCATTATGTTTGCCTAACGAAACATATTCAACAATAAACACTCACTCCAGAAGACATCTGCATCACCAGTAACTTCATAAACTCTTTCACTTTTACTCTACATTGTGTTGATTATTTATTCTGATACATTATCAGTGAATTAGTAACCATTTATTTTAAATCTGTTCTCATATTTATGCAGTCACACTATTTAAAAAATCCCAATTCCACTTTTAATCGTTGCAGTTCAGCAGATCTAACTACTATGCATATTTAATATAATTTTAGGTAGTAGTACAGTATTTGTGTAACATTTTGAATTATAATGTAAATTTCATAGGTGTTATTTTAGTTAAATTTTATAATTACCATTGCACAAGGTAGCATCTTAATGAATAACAGAAATGAACTGTATAAAAAATAACATTTACATGACAGACAAAAGGCTTGAGATTGTTATAGTAAAAGTTTAATTAAACATAAAACATGAGTAAAACATGAGTAGGGCAGTTCCTTCTATACTGGGAATGTAACAGAGTAAGCCAGTTAAGTTCCTGATCTCAAGAGAATTGTATCCTAATATGGGGAGAAAAATAGTAAGTTTAAAATAGCAACAAAAACAATAACACTCTAAAATAAATGTTCCCAACCTCTATATTAGTACATCATGACTTGTACTAATATAGAGTTACACTCTATATTACACTTGGCTGTTACACTTGGCTGAAAGTGAAGTTGAACCTTCCATATAAACCCTCCTAAATATTTGCAAGTGGGACTCAGAGAATTCTTGTAGTTACAATAGGCCTCTTCTATGCAGAGAGAAGCAAATATGAGAGACTATTTAATCTAAGAGAAATACAAAGAGCAGTTACCTCTGAAATCTACTGTATTTCCTGCCATTGGCTGTTCATTTCTGTTAGCATACTCTAATGGGACAGTAAAAGAAAAATACCTTTACTTAGGCTAGAAAGAGAGAGATTCTATCCTATGCAACTTAACGATCCCTAACTAAGAAGCGAATATCCCACCAGAGATACCCATAATATTAAAATTTCATAATTTGCATTTGTCATTAGAAAAATAATATAAAACTTGTATGGCAATAAATAATCCATTATTTTCATGTTCAAATAATGCTCTAATCTATGGAAATATCATATGCTACAGGCTGGACATTTGCATTCTTCTAAAATTCATCTGTTGAAGCATAATTAAACCAAAATATAATTGTGTTTTTGAGAGGTGATTATGTTGTGAGGGTGGAACCCCCAAGAATGAAATTAGTATGAATGAGAACCCAGAAAACTCTCTTGCCCATTCCCACCATGTGAGGTTAAAGTGAAAAGATGGTCACCTATGAACCACGAAGTGCACTGTCACCAGACACCAAATCTGTGGGTGCCTTGATCTAGGATTTCCTGGTCTCCAGAACTGTGACAAATAAATTTCTGTTATTTGTAAGCCACCAGTCTATGGTAATTTTCTATGGGAGCCTGAACAATTTATGACATCATAATTTCTGTAATCCTATATTGTTGGTTATCTTCTTTTATAAAATAATTACAGAATTTCTGCTTCCTGCTCTGCTAAAGATGAAGAAAGTAACCTTTTAGGTAGTAGTACCGTATTTGTGTAACATTTTGAATTATAATGTAAATTTCATATGTGTTATTTTAGTTAAATTTCATAATTACCATTGCACAAGGTAGAATCTTAATGAATAACAGAAATGAAGTGTATAAAGTAGTAATGTCATTACTACTTCGGCAACAGGAAAGATGGATAATTTATAAAAGTAAAATTTATTTTTGTTTTTGTTTTAAACCCATTAGAAATTTGAGAACAAAAAGAAATTAAAACAAATTACAATATAGAAAATGACAAGCCCTCCTGGGAGAAAAGAGACTTACAGTGGTTTTTATTTCTGATAGAGAAGCAAGAGGATGAGAAAGCAACTATTGGTAGAGGTAAAAGGAGAGTGGCTAAATTTTTAACAATTTTTTTGGCCATGACTTGACTGGTAAAATACTTTAGAAAACTGAGCAGTCCCAATCACAAAGAGATTCTGCACCTACCCACTAGCTTTCTCATAGGTCATCACTGAATGTTCACATGATGGAGTTGGAACAGGGAGTAGGAGATGGGAGAGATGACCCCCAAAGGTACATCATAAAAGGTCAGTTGATGGAACAAAGTCAGATGATAGAACAGAACTGAGAAATAGGCAGCAGCTGCCATTACCCATTAAGAGAAGGACTGGGGTCCTGAGATCAACCCTCCATAACTGTTCTTTACCTTCACTGTACACACTGCAAAAGTCTTGCAAGACTGTCTGCAAAAAGAACAAGATAAGAAATAGCTCCTATGGGACAGAAAGCGAGGGACAAGAGTGGAGAACAAAGAGAAATCTCCAGCAAATTGAAACACCAAGCAAAAAACCTGGAAAGGTAGGACATATATAAATCAAGAATGACATCATAAGTAGTTTGGAAATTGGTAGCTGCAGTGTCAATCACAAAGTTGCTTAGTCTTTCTGGTGTTCTAATACCAAGAAAATGGAAGGTCTTGATTGCATATTCAAATCTTTAAAGTCAATGATAAACTGAATATAACCAAAGGAACATCAAAACCAGCTAAGCTACAGGTTAGAATGAATTGATGGCTAGCAGCTTACAGATGAAAGAGTATGCCCTTTTAAGGACAAAAATTAATTGACTTGCACTATTCTTCTACATACAACATTAAGCATGCAATCAAAATAAAGAGATATATGAAGCAAGAAAATGTTACCCATCATGAACAACAAAATCAGTCAATAAAAACAGACCTAAAAATGGTCCAGGTATTGCTTCCTCAAGATTAATTTCAGAATTATCTTGTGAATTCCCCTTAAAATATCTCTTTGGCCTTTTAACTTGAATTTTGATGAAAATAAGTATTCAGCTATATCTGGGGAAAATATTAAAAATAAGAAACCTTCTTTTTCACTAGGATTTTGCCACACTGTATGATACCATGTGACATGGTTTGGCTGTGTCCCCACCTAAATCTCATCTTGAAATCATATGTATTGTGAGAGGGACCCAGTGGGAAGTGATTGAATCATGAGGGGGTGTCTTTCCTGCACTATTCTCGTGTTAGTGATTGAGTCTTATGAGATCTGATGGTTTTAAAAATGGTAGTTCCTCTGTACAAGCTCTTTTTACCTGCCACCATCCATGTAAGATGTGACTTGCTCCTCCTTGCCTTCTGCCATGATTGTGAGGCTTCCCCAGCCATATGGAACTGTGAGTCCAATTAAACGTCTTTCTTTTGTAAATTGCCCAGTCTTAGGTATGTCTTTATCAGCAGTGTGAAAACGGACTAATACACGGTGGAATACTAACAAAGCTAGCAGCATGAAACTTATGGTTCTTGCAGTAGTATGAGAAATATGTAAATATTTTATTCAACAGAAGTACTATTATATGATAATGCTGCCCAAATGTTTACACTTTAGTACTTACTAACAAGAAGAAAAATACATTTTTATGTGATATTCTTAAGATTTTTAATATCTTTATTTCTTTTTTATGAAGTTGGACAATATACTAACTCTATCTCGACAAAAGGCCATGTGGTAGTTTATTGAATTATGTTGTTTACATGCAGTTTTTACCTCAGGCAATCCACTATTCCATCCCTTTTCTTTACATAGGGCTGACATAGCCTTTATATATGTGCTCACATATAACTTGTGTAGTACTTCTCCATTGGGCAAAGAATAATGTTTCCTGTTGCTCAACCAGTTGGTGAAATTGTCTGAACTTCATAAGAAGGCAAAGTCTAATCACTTTATTAACTTTAAATAATTCAATGAGTAAAAGTGTTAATTTTTTCCATATTGTTCTTTAAATTTACACTATGCCTATTAGCTGAATTTTTCCTTATTTTTTACTAATTAGAGTCCCTCACAATATTGTTATTTCCCTCACTATTATTTTTTGCCTCATGGAATTAAATGAATTAGTACATTTTCAACACTCAATTATCTTTATTGTGCAAAAATATTGTGTAGCTAATGAAAACATTTAACTAGCTTTGTTACATAATCAAATCATTATGTTCTGCATTACATTTTTCAGTGCATTTTGCATAATAAGGGTTAGAATCAACTAGGGAACACACATTCCAATGCCATTTTAGAAAATGTTTGATTATGCATTGTGCTAAAATATTTTACTCCAACCCAATAGGCCAGTTTCCAGATTCATTTAACCTTAGCATCTACAAAAAGGCTTCCTGAAGCCATGCCATTGAATATCGAAAGCAGGGTCATTCTTGCTTTGTGCATGTGAATGCTTCTTGACAAGGAAAAGAGATTGAGACAGACCTCTATTTCATAATTTCCACTGAAGTACTTTCAGATGTTAACAATTATGTCTCCACAACTTTGATTTGAACTAATGACCTTGGTGTTGATGTTTCTATAACCCAATTAATTACTGATTCCTGATTTCTTGAGTTTTAATCTGCCCTTTAAATATTCAGTATAATAGCTCCAGGTAGTAAAATTAAAAGTGTTGCTTACTGATTTCAATGAGAATGCCTTACTCTGGAGATTGCTTCCTGTTGCAGGATTTGTAACCAATCAATCCAAAATAAAAGCTTTCCATGGAGATGATTAAAGAGTTTGAATTGCTTGTTGAGCTAAGCAACTTACATTAGAATTTAGTTTTAGACACTGAAGAGTTATACTATTCACTTTCTACTCAGAATAAAACCCAAAGTACCTACAATGCCTCTTTCTCTTACTATGCCCTTCAGACCCAGTATGACCTTGGACCTTATATCCTTGATTTAATTTCCTATTACATGCCCAGTCACTCTGTCTCAGTCACATTCAACACCTCACTGCTCTTGGAACAAAGGAGAACTTTTCCCATTCACAGCCTTTGCACAAGCTGTTCTCTTTCTCTAAAATGTCCTTCCTCTAGAAATCCTCATTCTCAGTCCTTTCCTTCAAGCTTCTGCTCCAGTGTCACATACATAAAATAACATATTGAAAACTAGCAATGATCCTCAAACACTTATCAGCATTCACTATGTCCTTTTTTGCTATATTTTGCTTCGTAAACATAATTATATTTTATCATGTCATATATTGACATTCATTTTGTATTGTCTTTCTCTTACTAAAATGAAGCTCCATGAAAGGGAGTATGAGAGAGGGAAGGGTTTTTTGTCTATAAGCAGTTATTCTCAATAAACAAAAGAATATGTTCACATATAATAAGAATTAATTATTAATTAAGCAAATTAATGAAGAATTCCTAATAGTCTAAATGAAGTACCCAAAGGTTTCCTAACTTTCTTTTTCCTTCTTTCTCTCCCTAAGCCTTTTATCTCCAGAAGGAGGGTCACAGGACTGATAGAAGTACAAAATAGAATCAATTAAAGTTTTGCTCATAAATATTTCTGTTGCTTTTCACTCTAAACTTTGAGATTAGGAAATAGAAGACACATATTAGACAGGTCTTGATTATGTCACTTTTCTGCACAAACTTTTCTCTCAGCTTTTCTAAAGCACAACACCTTAAGATGAATAAGGTCATCCTTTTGTCTGGATTTAACAGGAATTTTTGAAAAACTTCTAACACATAATCATACTATTCTATAATCATTTATTTATTCTCTGATATTAATTATTATTTTAGTAAATTATTGAGGAAGGGATTCATACTTAACCTATCTCTATTATGTCTATATATTCTAGCCAAAAAAAAAAATGTGAATACTGAGCATGCCTCTCAATTCCATTGGTCTTAATGCCACATGCAAACTGCCCAGACAGTTCATTAAATAGAGAAACTCTTGGAAAATTGATGAAGATACATGAGGCACTGTGCAGAGGAAGCAAATATGAGAGACTGTTTAATCTAAGAGATACAAAGAGCAGTTACCTGTTAAATCTACTGTATTCCTTACCACTGGCTTTTAGTTCTTATGGGAATATCCTAATTTGACATTAGAAGAAAAATACCTTTACTTAAGCTAGAAAGAGATGGATTCTATCCCATACAACTTAATGATCCCTAACTAAGAAGTGTATAGAATCATCAGTGATAACTGTAATTTAAAAATTCGTTAACCAAAATTTCATAATCTGCATTTTTTATTAAAAACATAATAAAAACTTTGACAATAAAGAATTTTCTATGTTATTTTCATGTTTTGATAATGTCCCAATCTATAGAATTGAATTGGAGCCTTAATGCTCCAATCTGTAGAAATATCATAGGCTAACACTAAATGTTTATGTTCTTCCAGAATTCATTTGTTGAAGCTTAACACTGATTTCTTATTAGACCCTAATAAGAGTGTCTACTGAGTTTTCCAAAAGTAATTCTCTCCCTTTGGTTAGTCTGTATGCTGGGAATTGCACTAAGTTTGAAACTTATGAATGACCTAGTCCTGAAAATCTCTCCATACCCATATTTTGCTGTTTGTTTGCTTGCTTGTTTCTTAATCGTTTCTCCCAGGGATATACTTGGCGAGGAAAGTAAAGATAGAATTCACGAAGGTGATATTCTGAATCTTTATTCAAGAGAAAGAAGTGCATTATTTCATTTCACCCTTTCAATTCCAAATAGCACTCAGGACAAAGCAGAAATGACAACCCTGGGCTGGATTCACCGAGCACCTGTAATCTCAAGTTGTTTTGTTTTTATGGAGCTTATTCTTCTAATCAGGAGCTGATTCTGCTTTTACTATCTCATACCGAAAACTAAAATATTAATTCCTCTCAAAAAAGAAATTATAAAAAAGCATTCCCTTCACCACTGAAGTCTACCATAGCTCCACATTACCTCCAGTCTCTTCATTCACCATCACCAGCCTCCACCCAGATATACATGCTCTCTCACTAATACATTTGTGAAGTCCAACTAGTGATTTATTTTCTCTTTTTCCATCAAGGAGACAGGGAACAGTTTTTTGTAGTGTTTTTCTTTTTTCTATTGATTTCTTGAGTCACACACTCAGAATTGCCCAATAGTTTTCTTAGTTTTTGATTTTCCATATGGTACTTATTGAGTCACACATTCAGGATTGCCCAATAATTTTCTTAGTTTTTGATTTTCCATGTGGTACCTAAGAGTTAGCAGCTTTTACCACTTTGTATTAGGAAGCACCTGTTGTGCCATTCATAGAGCAGAGTGGAAAAGACCATTTTTGTCCTGTTCTGACTAGTTGTTTCATTATTCTTGATGTCTTGAATTCCTCAGTTTGATGAATGGGAAACTCATCAGTAAACCATCTTAATCTCAACTAACTAATATTTTACTCTCTCCTGTTAATTGGGAGGTAAGGGGCACCACTGCCTTTCAAAATCTTTTGCCCCTTCTCAGTATGTTTGGGGTGCTAAACAGAATATCACAGACTGGGTGACTTAACATAAACGACAGTTCATTTATCGCAGTTCCAGAGGCAGGGAGCTTTAAGATCAAGGTACTTGGACAATTGAATGTCTGATGAGGGCTTGCTTTCTGGCTCATAGTTGGCCATCTTTTCCCTGCATCCTCATATGGCAGAAGAGGCAAGGGAATTCTTTGAGGTCTCTTTTTTTAGAACAATAATCCCACTCATGAGGGCTCCTCTCTCATGACATGATCACCTTCTAATGGCCTCATCTCCTAATATCATCACTTTGAGGATTAGGATTTCAACATACAAATTTTGGGAGGACACAAACATTCAGTCTATAGCATCTCCTAAGAGTGGATCTTGGTGCTTCAGTCTAAAAAACATCCTGAGTCACCTTAAGGTCAAGTGGATAGGCAACAGAACATTTTGTCTAAGGGTGCACCCAAGCTCTAAATCAGGCAGACTGAGTCCAAACTATAGTTCTGTCACTCATAAACTGTATGGCTGCAGAGTAGTTACTTAATCTTTCTAATCCTCACATTTTCCCTTTGAAAACTGGGGAAAATAATACACCTATTTCAAAGAGTATTTCTACTACAAAATGTGATCTCAATTTTTAGGTATTATGATTTCTAATATTTCTATTATATGAATATGCCCAGATTAATCAAGATTCCCTTCAATCATTTATTCATTGGTGTGGTGGTAAATGGGAAGAAAATCAATCACATCTCATGGCAGAAATGTGTTTTATTTAAATATTAACCTTTTGAACTCATGAACACTTTGGTAATCTGATGAGTTGCCAATGCTCCTCATAAGCTTACACCATAAAATTGAATATAAATTTAATATGATCATGTATCTCTTGAAGCTCATCCATTGACTGTTTACTCGAAATAACTCTTAATTTATATCTATAAGAAACATGAACCACCAAACTAAGGCAGATCATTAGGCTTTATATTTTTGATTTATTTTAAAGGTCTCAACAAATTGTTATTACAAAATGGGATTTAACTCTGAAAGTAGTTAAGTAATTTGTGTTACATTTGATGGATTTTGCTGGATGCTCTAGTTAAAATGGTTAGTTCAGAATCTTCCTATGGAATTGAAATGACTTTTAGAAAAAGCAATAAGCACTCAGTGGTCATAGTTGGCCATCTTTTCATGACAATATTAGGAGGTGGGGCCATTAGGATGTGATCAAGTCATGACAGAGGAGCCCTCATGAATGGGATTAGTGTTCTAAAAAAGAGACCTCAAAGAACTCCCTTGAATCTTCTGCCACGTGAGGATGCAGGGAAAAGATGGACAACTATGAGCCAAAAAATATATGTTGAATGGGAGGAAAAAAAAGCCTGAAGAATAACTAAGAGCAAAAATTAACATAAACTTTGGCAATGGTCTGAATAGGTACTGTTTAAGATGACAAATAGTAGATTGTATTTTTTAATAGTTACTTCTATTCACATGCAGTTTACTCTAAGCTTCCCATTAGCCTCACTTTATATGCCATATAATCAGGTCACAGCCCCAAGTGCAAGAAACTCTTATCTAATTTATAACTGTGTGATAAGTGGAACAATTATGATGTAGAGGCATTCAGAATTTACTGTAATTATCAATTTATTGCCAGAACCATTTCCATTAGTTGTATAATCACCATTCAACTAGACTTTAATGCTTGATAGTTCATAAAAGAAAAATCCAAAGATACTTGATCAGGAGGTTAAAATGGGTGTATTTTATGGTATTTGGCTTTGGTCTTGGGATACGACTCCAGGAATGGAACTTATTAATTGTTTATAGCCATGAGTCAGTTAGAAACATAAGATAACAAGGCCTATATACAGACTTCTTCTC